>NC_000004.12:86497138-86648653 GCF_000001405.40 Homo sapiens
TATTTCACATAAACAGGACTCAAATTCAGTGCTTCTAACTTCTAAAACTCAGGTACTTTATGGTTCTACTGATGAGGCTATTGTCAGGAATTTCACTTCCCCTATGAACAATCCTGTTTCTCATTGTCAATGCCTGGAAGATTCTAAAAGCATCAAAGTCACACTTATGCTTTCCATTTCCGTAGACTTGGCAAGGAACTATGCGGGCATGCACTGAATGGCCAGTCTCAGTGCCAAATGGAAAACCTATCCTCAGGCTCCTTGGCTCTGCCAGGTCAGAAGACTCAGAGCACACACTACACTGCAGCTGTTGAGGCCATGGGAAGTAGGACCAATGGAGTGCAGCCCTATGAGGCATATAGAAGGTGCTGAGGTTGGAGTTTTTCATGGCAATAACAAATGTACCTATGATCACTGATCACAGACATCTTTCCCAGCTGGTGGGGGCAGTGGCAAGTCTAAGCCATAAAACCCAGCAGAAATAAAATCTGTCCAGGGCTAAGTGGTGTGCTGATGATTTTTTAACAACCAGCTCTTCTGGAAAGGAGGAAAGAAAGCCCTGGTTTGTAGTTTGCCAAAACTCCCACCATGGCCAATTTCGAGTGTACCAAGCAAGCATCATATCATTAAATATGAAGTTGAGAAGATACGCTAACAATCAGCACTTGCACTCCACTCCTCAGTCCCTATGCCTAGAGCACCCCACTCTGGCTGTGCAAATATTAGGAGCAGGGTTGATTAGAAAACCCTCCATTCCATACCACTATGGAATCTATGGATGGATTTTCCATGAGCACAACTGGCTTCTTGGACCATCCCTTACTTCTCTTCAAGGGTAAAGAATTTATTTATCTAATTGGTGTGTTAGGGAGAAGCAACTGAGCATGCTGAGCTAAGCTCCTTTCTGCCCTTTCTCTCAGGGATCTGTCTGCCTGAAGACAATGTGCTTTCTGTTTTGGCTGCTGTCATGAGATAAAAGTCAGTGGCCTTATGCCACAGTTTTCAGGACAGTCCTGGCATTTCATCCCTTCGACTCTCAAAAGTGTCTTGGTTTGCACAACAAATTATGTGTCACTTTATGTAAAAGGGACTAACCCTGCAGAGCAAGGCCTGGCAGGCAACCAGAAAAATGGCTATTTCTGGTGCAGTCCTAGGAAACCTACTGTTACCACACAACTGAGCCACATTCTTCAATATCACTTTTATTGATAATAAACCTGACATTTTGATCTTCATCGGTTTGATTATTTTATCTAACTCTAGTTATATGCCAAACACAAGGAGTAACAACAGAGCCATCATTTTGGAGACTCTTAAAACTTCATCAAACTGAGTGCCCTGAAAAGTGACTGGTTGTGGCTTTTAGATAAGAAGAAAGTGGAAGTCCACACACACAGAAACAAAGGAGACTAGGATCATTAAGACAATTATCCACAAGCTCCCAAATCTACATTAAGAAAACAAAATACTAAAAATTTTTAGTGAGAGTTGACTCATAACAGCACTGCTATAATAAGAATTTAGAATTAAATTGAGGTGGCTTTATAAACCGTGGGTCACCACCACAAATATGTAGGGTACACCACTCTGTTGCTGCCTAAGCGTATTTAAGCTAGCTACCACTAGAGGGACCCTAATCGCCAAACATCATTTATAGCTAACCTTAACAGCCCTTTTCCTTTCCTTCAGACCCTTGTTTATCTGTATAGATGTAGTTGTGGAACACCAAAGTGGCACTCAAAGAAAGTAAAATAACAAAGTTCTTAATATTTGTGAAGTACTGAAACATGCACTGTTTCAGACTGTGTCTCCAAATTAACCTCTCTTCTTAAAGCTCACCTGACCATAGGTTTAGTTCAAATGTGGAATGGATCATTTGCTTTTTAAAAGCCACATCCAATTATAGAGAATCATAAGTTAATATTCACATCCTTTTGCGATTACAATTGTGTTAAATGAAATACTTCTTTCAAGCAAGTAAGCCATTACTATGCTTTCAAACTCCTCCCAAAATCAGTGTCTGGGGAGTAAGGAGTATGCAAACCTCAGGATAACACACACAGAGACACACACTCATATAGAGCACAGGATAAAAAGTTATACAAAAGGAAAAGTAGCTTTATATTCCAGATTATCACAATCAAACAGTTCAGAGGAGATTTACACTGCCCTGGACCTGCCTAACTTTAACTACCAGCAGCTAAGTTGCAAGCACACCAGGAACCTTGACTTCAGTGCATGACCAAAAACAGGGTGGGGAGTAACACAGCAAGAACATTTCCAGACAATTCTGCTGATGCACTTGTTGGTTCGGTTATTTTCTTGCCAGGGCCACACATACACACCCATAGGCAGTGCCTCCAGGTCACGAAACACACTGGAAATGTGTATATTGTTCAGTCAATATCAATTAGACAAAAAGACAAACCATATAATGCACTATCCAAAGAGGATTTGTTTTTTGCTTTAATCGTTGATTTTGCTTGCTTGCTATAGCTAAGACAACTAGTCACCTACACAACATCTATTCTCTTCTTTTTCCTTAATGATAGAACTTTAAGAACTTTAATTTTATTCCAAGTAGTGATGTATCCAGCTAAAGGACTGCATTTGCCAATCTCTCCTGCAGATAGGGATGGTTGGTAAACAGTAAGTGGGCCTTTAGAGAAAGCTCCTTAAGACAAACAGCTGAAGTATGTCTTTTTGTCCTTTCTGCTTCCTCCCTGATTAGAAGACATATATGATGTCTGTCTGGGATCCCAGCAACCATCTTGGACCACGTGAAAACCTTGGGGATGGAAATCACATGCTATGGATGGCGAAGAAAACTAAAAGCGCCTGAGTCACTGATACCACTTTAGAGCTACCATATAAGCCTCTCTTAAGCCTTCCTTTTATGAAAGAAATATAAAATTCCATCTTGCTGAATTCCTATCTGTGTTACTAGCAATTGAACAACTGATTTGCCAGCCATCTGAATTACCCAGATTGTCTGATAATTGGTCAATACCCACTTCATTTTAGGATATAGAAATAAAGCTTCAAAACTGGCCATAATAGCTATGGTGATTTGATCCTCAAAACTAAAAATTAGGTCACACAATAAGAATAGTCTGAATCCACTTATGGGAGAAGCAGATCAGCTTATTTGAAATCGGGTTGTGCTAGAATACCCAGATCATATGATTCTATTTTCAGTTATTAAGTTCAAGCACGTTGCAGTAATCCTGACCTGATTTTCCACTTCATCAGGAAAAAGATAAGTTTGCGTACTGTGTGGTACACACTCTTCTAACTAGAAACTTCAGTTTAATACACAATCTCTGAAATTTATTTCACAAAGTGTTCTGAGTTTCCTGAAACTCAGGTTCCCCATAAACTTTGGGGGTTTTGTTGTAATTACACCTATGCTCCTTTCTCTGTGCTCAGGAAGAAGCATTATTGGCACCTGTATCCTGTAGAACTCAGTTCTATATATTTAATATTTGCCTTACCTAAGCCCTCTATATATGTTTCCCCATAAAAGGATAATAATACTAACCTTTCCTCCAGTGTGTGTTGTGATGTTTAATTAATGTTTACAAAGCATTTAGTGAGCTGCAGATGAAAGACTCTAAGGAAGCATAAAGCAATATCATTAGACTGACTCATCAGCTACTTTTATTAGCTATGCAAAATGAAAGCCATGTTGCTACAGCCAAAATAGTTATGGATACACATTAGGTAAAAAATATAAATTCCAGCACAATTTAAATCTATATACCACATCTACAAAGCAAACACCTGAAGCTCCTTAATAGGACAATTTTTTTCTCTGATAAGTATTTGAAATCTGTTAACATTTAAAAATATAAACAGATTAGAAGGTTAGGGTAATGGTAAAAACATGATACTTTGGTAAACATATGAAACTCTTTACACTTTCTTATGTGAATGAAGATTTCATTTGCAATGATGTGAAACTCTCTACGATCTGAAAAAAAAAAAAAAAAAAAAAAAAAACTTTTAATTGATTCTTTTTCATTTGAAATTAGCAATAATGACCTGAATTCCACAGGAGATAAAAACAATAAATTGAAAACCTTGAAAATTAGTTCAGGTAATAGTTCTTGAGTTTCTCTGTGCCCTATGTTCAGGTGCAGGCTATTTTATATATAGTCTTCAACAGCTTTCAACCAAGTGGTATACAACTGTATTTATTTAATAAGCATATATTAATATTGTATATTTTTTCTGAACCAAGGAATCATTTACACTATACATTCTAGTCTACAATGTAAAACTAAAATATCATTTTATTGTGTGACATGGAGCTCTTTTTCAAGTTAAAACAGCTCTGTATCCTAGTGTTTCCTTGCTGTGTAGCAGAATGAGAATTAGGAACTAGGAAGAGCCCAGCTGGTAAGGAGGGTTCGCTTTTTTATAATTAGTTGGGTTAAACCCATAATATCCATCTATAACTTATCCAGGGTATTCTGTTTCAAAGAGAAGTAATAGTCTTAAAACAGAAAACATGCATTTGTATGCATGTGTGTGTGCATGCACACACACACACACACACACACTACTGTGCAGTCAAAGAACAGACTCCATGTCAGTTTTGAAAGACATACCAACTGGGTTCAACATTACATTGTGTCAGAGAATGAAGTGATGACTATCCTTCACTCAAAAAATGCATAGTTGAATTTTTCCTCCAACTTCCAATTTGGTTAATTTGAGAACTTGTGGTTTAGTAGGTTACATGGAAGATTAAGGAGACTCACATCCATAATTGTCCCAAAAAAGCACAAAGTTAACATTCTCCTGAGTTGAAAGTAAAGACTATTATGGAAATTAATTAATCCCTTAACAACAACCACAACAAAATGGCAGGGCACTGCATGGCAGCACTGCAGGGTCTTTTAAAGGTAAATGGATTTCATGCCATTTTAACCAGTTCAAGTATAAAGTCATCCAAGTTTTAGAAATATTCTGAAACCATTTTCTTCTGCCTCTTTAACGGCTACTTTTTGATCTCCATTTTTTTTCCTCCTCTAAATGTGTTGTGACTCATACATTTACAACTTGGATGTCCCCAAAATAGTAACCACCCCCATTCTATTGCCATATATTTTTGTGTTATAAATTAAAATGGGAAGAATACCCATTCAGAATATAATGGAAAACAGCATCCCCCAACTCGCTCCTGAAGTATCTTCATGAATTCTAAAGAAGCTTAACATTATTCTGAGTCATTTCTTGCTTGGATTTCTTGCTTCTACTGAATTCTCCAAAGTAAAGCTAAATTCTCCTTAGCTTTACTTTGCATTGACTTAATAATATGAAGTACATTTCTCTTGACCATTCCTTTGAAACTCACAAAACTTCTTGTTTCTCTTTATATCACTCCTATACCTCAGCATGCTCTGAGTTTTATTTTCCACTGTAATATGGCCCATCAAGGTGATTGACCAAACAAAAAGTTTTTGAGGCATATTCTTGATAGCTTTTAAATGTACATTGCCTCTCCTCCATATGTCAAATTAACTTTCCCACTACAGAGAATTCTTCTGGCACCTATAATTAATATTCTCTTTGGTACATTCTTTCCTTTAGAGTTCTTATTTAGTTTGATAGAAAATGACTCCCACATTTCAGTCAACGTTTATCTCTCTTCTTTATTCTGGACTTACATTTTCATTCTAAAAGACATTTTTGCCAAAATTTACCACCAACACCTCAAACTCAGCACATAAACAAAAATAACAGACTTTTTTGTGAGGCTTATTCTGTGTGGATCATCAATATAGACTACAGAGTCAAGTAACAAAGATTTATTCTAGGAAGAAGGGTGGGATCCTTCAGTTCAGAAGATTACAGTTTCCAATGCCTCTGGAATCTCAAAAGAGGGACTGCTGAAAGAGGATGGAAGAATAATAATTTAAAGGTGAGTTATGAGGTCAACCTAGATGTCTAGCATTTCAAAGCCATGTCATCCAAAGTTAAGGGTATCATCTTTCCCAAACAAACTCATTCTGTTCCTGATGTTCTGAATTCTGTTAATGCAACCACAATTTTTCTCATCATGCAATTTCAAAATTTTAACTTAGACTCTTTTGTCTCTGGCTCTATATTCCTTCAGTTGCCTAGTTCTTCCAGTTCAGACTCTGAAATGTCAGTTCCATTCTCACCTTTGCTACTTTACTTCCAGCTCCCATACTTTTCCAATTAGATTGTTGAAATGGGTACCTAAAATATCTCTCTATCCTCAGACTTTTTCATCTAATCGAATTCTTCCCATCTGTGGGTACCAACTGATAAATTTTCATAAAGTACCACACTGATGGTATCACTTTCCTATAAAACTTTCAAAGGCTCATTATTACCTAACAAATTGAGTGCACACTCCTTAGTAACCTCTCCATTGCAATTCCAAGGGTCAGTTCTCCATCCTCATCTTATTCAACCAATAAGAAGCATTTGAGAATTAATCTGTAGCCTGGATTTCTACAGTTGGTCCCTTGCTTCAACGCTTACCTAATAATCTATTTCACAAACAGCCATGGTAATTATTTTAAAACATTTCAGATTATGTCACTGTTCTGATTTAAATCCTCCAATGGCTTTTTAAAAAATCTCATTTGGGGTAAAATTCAAAGTGCTTATAATGGCCTGCAAGATCCTATATAATATGGCTGGCTATGCACTACCAGACCCCATCATCTACCACAATTAATTATTCATCTCCCTAATCCTACTCTAGCCACACCAGTCTTTTTGCTCTTACCCAAGGACAGCAAACATGCTCCCACCTCTTGGGCTTTGTACGCATTCCACTCTTCTTCCTGAGACCTACAGGGCCCTCCCTAATTCATTCAAATGTCTATACAAATGTCACCATAGTAGAGAGTTCTCTCTCCAATCTATCAAAGTAACATTCCCCCCAGCCTACCCAGATAATCCCTATTATCTGTAACACTTAACATCATTAGAAATATCATAGTTATTTGTGTAATATTTTTTATTGTCTGTCTCTTCTCACTAAAATATAAGCACCCTGAGGGAGGGTCTTAGTTTCTTTTACAACTATTTTCCCAGAGCCTAAAAGAGCATACTGCACTTAATTCAATAAATATTTCTTGAGTGAATGAATAAATGAGTCTCACAGAATGAACCTCTCTACAGAAATCCTATGCTAGCCCAGTGAAATCCAACCTGTGGGCCAAAGATCTGGGAAGTAGTAAAGTAACGTAAAGGGGTCTGTGAATCCACATCCTTCCGATTATTGTCTGTAAACTAAATTAACTACCATATTATACTATTACTTTAAAATGTATTAATTTATAGTAATCTTACCAACATGTATTTTTCCAAAGGATAGTAGCAGTACAGTTTACTATTATGTAGGAACCTACCAATTTTTTCTTATTAACAAGGGGTGTTCTTACTCAAAAACATTAGGAAGCTCACTGCTCTAGCCAAACGAAACCACTGCCTTTTCATCAAGTTGTCTATAAACATTCACACCTGTTCCTTTGCTAATATGTGTATCTTAACTAGCAAAACTTTTTCCTGCCCTCCACTTTCCACCCCATCCTCCAATTGATTTACTGTTTCAAATTCTAAATCATCATTATCTACACCTGAGTGAGCATATGCCTAAGAGCTGGCAATAAGACACATGATGACTGGCTGGGGTGAGGAATGGAAAGGAAGAGCCAGAAGAGGAAAAGAAGTGCTACAAGATTCATGTGCTAGAACTCTCAAGTCCAATTTCACCTGCCTCCCAGTTTGCCTACAGTCCCTCTTTTGGGGGTATTAAGCACATCCAGCAAAGTCTTTCCACCAGCAAAGCCCATCCACTCTGCATCCTCCATAAATACAACACACTAATTCTAGACCCTGCACTATTTTTTCATACTAGTCAAAGTGCTCTGCTCACTGCTTTCTACCAAATAGCAACCATCACATAATTGTTTTGGTTCAACCTTCACCTGTTTCTGGAACTTTTCCCTGGCTAGCCAACAGCACATTCTTATTATTCCTCTATAGTGCTTCAGCAATTTAATACACATTTTTTCAAACAAATTTTCTACTCTTTGATAATTTATTTTTAAGTTTCCTTTCAGCATCATGCAATATGCCCATATAACCTGCCCATGTACCCCCTGAATCTAAAATAAAAGTTTAAATTATTTTTTAAAAATGGGCCAGGCAAGGTGGCTCACACCTATAATCTCAACATTTTGGGAGGCCAAGGCAGGAGGATTGCTTGAGCCCAGGAGCTCAAGACCAACCTGGGCAACATAGAGAGACCTCATCTCTACTAAAAATTTGTGGTGGCATGCATCTGTAATCCCAGCTTATCAGGAGGCTGAGGTGGTGTTTGAGCCTAGTTCAAGGCTGTAATGAGCTATGATCACACCACCACACTTCAGCCTGGGCAACAGAGTGAGACCCTGTTTTTAAAAAAAAAAGTTTCCTTTTTTCATTTATTCTCTTAAATGTGAACTCCTGCGAAGACATGAGAGCCTCAGATATTTCTTTTCTTTTATAGGTGTCTTTCCATTATACAATAATGCCTAGTACTAGACTAGGAACAGAAGAGATAAAGAAAGATATCCTATGAAGGCACTGAATTAGCCTTTAGCTGGATTCACAAACCTATAGGCCAATTTAAATTGTACTCATTTTCAAATTTCTTTAGGTCATGAACTAGCCTACTTATTGCGTCAATATCTATAAATTACTTCCCCAATTCTGTCCTTTCTAAAGTGTATATGCTCTGTCCTCTAGCAGATGATCTTGTTCCTGAACTTCAATCCAATGAGCTCTCATTGAACTCCTTAATGTAAAACATGAGCTAGGCAATATAGAGACATACTCCTTGCCCTAAAGGAATTCATAATAATTCCTTAAAGAAAACATTTTTAAAGCACCTGGTATGTGTTAGGCACCCAAGAACTATTCTATACAGCACAGAAAATGAGATATTCACACCTATAAACAAAAGACAGCGTATTACATTCCAAAAGAAAGGCAGTCGGTCATATGAAAATCCAGGAAGGGAAAAATTAATTCTGAACATAATACCAAGGAATCTTTTATTGAGGAACTGTCCTCTGAATAGGACCATTAAGGAGAAGAATTTTCATGAGAAAATGAGTGAGGGATATGCTAGAAAGGCAGTTGTTTCTGAATCTAATGGTCAAAAATATGGGTTTTGAAAGTCAGAGGGTCTTGGTTCAAATTGTATTTTTGTCACTTACTTGATGAACATCCCCAAGTAGCTTATTTAACTTCAACTGTGGTTTCTTCATTTACAAAATGGAGATAATGTGATTACACACTGCATAAAAACAGACTCTTAGCTGCTGCCTGGCACAGAGTAAGTGCTGACTAAAAGATAGCACTTAGTTTGTGTTCCCCCAGAAGAAGACCATGACTCAAAGATCCAACTACAAATAGTTTATTTGAAAGGGGGCCACAGGAATCACTGATAGGAAGGGGAGGAAGGGAGTCAAGGAAGGGAAGGCAGCACACAAAGTGTGTATTATTAAGTAAATTACCACTACTGGAGCCTAATCTAGCTGGAAACTCCAGGAGCCAGTGTCGACTCAAAGGTCAAGAGGAGCAGAGAATTAAAAACCAACCACAACAATCAAGGTCAGAACTGCTCCCAGACTGAGGAGCAGAAATTCCTCTTCTCCAGCAGAGGAGAAAGCTGTCAGGGAAAGACACACAGATACAGTTAAGGCAGCTGTGCTAAGTGGTAAGCCTCAAGGGGATTTGGGTAAGGCTCTGCCCACACTAATACAATATACATAAAAATATGAGTATATATATGCTTGAGGCTATAAGGAATATGTATCAGAAATTTATCTAATTGATGTATTAGTTAAAAATAAAACATATATGATAAACAATATTCCAGGCAAAGTTTTTAGAAGATGCAATAATCCAGAAAAAATTTTACACATGTATAACAAATTATCATACTGAATATAAAAAAGAATTACTACATATCCAACATAAGAACAACCCAATAAAAATAGATTAAAAGATATGAAAATGTAAAGAATAAGAGGCAAGCCCCAGAACAATAGATGAAATAGTCATTAAACATAAAAGAATAAATGACCAGGGAAATAAAAGTAAAAACAATAATAAAATACCAGTTCTAAGCTATTAGATTGACCAAATACAATTTGGCTATATCAAGTGTCAGCAGATGTGTAGACAGAGTAGTGCGGAGAAAAAACCCCTTTCATTGCGACTGCCACTTTGAAGGGCAATAATCATTATCCACCAAAAACAAAACTAAGCTTACCTTTTGGCCTAGTGATTCCACTTCTCAGTATCTCGCCTAGAGAAATACCCATGTGCACAATAATGTTTATTGAAGCATTGCCTACAATTCTGCAAACAAGCCTACAAAGGAGACAGACTAAATATTATGTAATACCATGTTACTATTAAAAAGAATAAACTGGAGATATATATATATATATATATATATATATATATATATATATATATATATATATATATAAAATCATGTGTAAATTCCCAAGATATATTGCTAAGGGTAAAGAGCAATGGCATACAGTGGTATAGAATTATACTGTGAAAGTTGTCAGAATCAAAATGGAGCCACTTGTGTTAAAAATCCTAAAAGACAGAGCCTCAGAAGGCCATGAAGAGAGGGTTCTCATGCACCAATGCCTGATAACAAGAACTATCACCAAAGACTCTGAAAAAACTACAAACTTGCACAAAGGCCATTGCAACTGTATACCAAAAAGAAAAAAAAAATACTCCTGTAGACATCTACCCAGCAATTGTCTGTCAGCCTTGGACTGTCATCACCCTTGGTATTGATCTCTGTAACCAAAAATAATTATCTCAAACCAATTATGTAATTCTTCTCATTTAAAAAGAAAACATTGTCTTCTTTTACCCTCCTGAACACACACATAGTTTACTATGGCATGTGTATTCCCATTGTATTCCTATTCGCAAAAAAATATCATTTTCTTTTAGAGAATCTTCCTCTCTGTTATTTAGTTTCGCATTAATGGTGTCAGCAGTGAGGCCAAAGTTAGCTCACCTTTGATGGATTGGTGGCCTGTGGAATTGAGTGCAGTACTGACTTCAATGTTGCCTTTTCTTCCATAGTGAATCTTCTCTAGGACTCTTGGACTCCCTCCCTTTGGTGAGTTCTTTTTTACTTTATTTGGGATCTGATTTGGTTATAAGGCCACCTTAAATAAAGGACCTTGCATCCCTCCTGGGACTATAAAAGTTATTTCTGGCGAGCCCTTTCTGGTAAAAGACAAGTGTCCTTCTGGTTTGAGTTATCT
Source organism: Homo sapiens (assembly GCF_000001405.40). Lineage (NCBI taxonomy): Eukaryota > Metazoa > Chordata > Mammalia > Primates > Hominidae > Homo > Homo sapiens. The sequence goes on from NC_000004.12 coordinate 86,508,484, forward strand.
GGTTTCTACGGAGTTTACATTCTGTCTGTGAGGCATTCTTTTCTGGTGAATTCACTTTTGATTTGGTGCATCCGGCTTAATATTTTGTTTGATCTGCATGGCTGGGTTAAAAATTCTGTGAGCACTCTGATTTTGGTTTCATTTTGGTTAGGTTATGTGTGTCTGTAAATGATTTGGCTCTTTTTCCCTTACTTGTTTCTGAACATCTTCCAAGAGCAAAAATAAACATTCTAAATAGTAGGCATGATATGGCCAATTAAAAGCCACTGGGATGGTCACCATGATCTAAACCACCAGTGTAAACTTCCTGACAGGATTTATAGAATTTTCTTTGCTCTGGAGAAATTAGTCAGAAACAGAATGGGATTCTCAAACATTCAGGCATGTCAAGCTTTCTGGGACTCCAGCTGGCTACATGGCTTTTCCTCGTGCATGTTTTTAAATTAATGGCCATCATGAATATCATTTGAAGTCCCCAACCTTGTTTTTTTCTTAGAATTCAATTAGAAACTGCAATCAACTATAGAGTTAACATGTAGAGTCTTTTTAGTTATCTTTTTTTTTCTGGATACTCTAAATCTGTTAACTTTTTCATTTGTGTTAAGATAACACACTGTTGCTAATTTCAAAAGCTGCTTAGATCTTTTTTTAGAGCATTTTAACCAGGATAAGGATAAAAATCTTAAAGGGCTTTCAAATTAATGGCTTTACAAATTACAACCGCTTCATGGCAGCCAACAACCTAGACACCTTTTGGAAATGTAAATTGAGGTTTCCCTAACTATTAATTGCTTAGGGTGATGAAACAGTTAATTGAAGGATTGATATTCTATACGGACATAAAGAGATATGTGTTTATACAAATTAAGGTCTCAGATCAAATAGGTCAAAATCTTGAACTTAGCGCAATAATACAAGGTATCTCTGGCATAAAAATTGCTTTGTCTGTCTGTTACACGGGGGCCAGAAACGCTGACCAAAAAAAAAAAACAAACAAAAAAAAACCTGCCAAAATGCTTCCCTGTCCGCATTGTCTAGTCAAGAAAACCAGATCAGCAAACAAAAGAAAGATTTGTTACTAAAAAATTTAAGGCAACTTGGAGATTTTGACTTTCTTACAGAATTTAGCCAGTCCCAGCTAAAATGTAAACAATTGAAAATTTAACCCTAAACTCATTTAAAACTGGAAAAAAAGATGTGAGATTTATTTAAAACCAAGATGCTTTACCTAAAAATTTTGGTCCACAGCTTTTCTTAGATTATCTATTAGGGAAAATAACACTTATCCACCTGAACAGGTCCCATTTTGTCAAAAATACAATTTGGGTCCAACTATTTTTTTATAAACTTGTGAGTTTGTATTACTATGCTTTACTATCTAGTGACTGAAATTCTAAAATTAAAGCTATAAGATCTTTATTGTGTGCATGTATATGTGTTTATGTGTGTTGACATGTGTTGTATGCTGTGTCTAAATTGTAAAATCTGGTGTACTTGGCTAGAAATTCCTTAAGAAATCCTATTCGGATTAGCTCAGATAAATAAGCAATCATAAAATATATAGTAATTAATCCAAATGCCTTTTAGTTCATACAACTTAAGTAAATCTTTGATAAATAAGCTGTTGGTGTTTTATTGGTAGGGGGTGGTTTGTTTTGAGGTGGGGTCTTGCTTTGTTCCTAGGCTGGAGTGCAGTGGTGCTCATTGTAGCCTCAAACACCTGTGCTCAATCAATCCTCCCACCTCGGCCTCCCAAGTAGCTGGGACTACAGGTATGTACCCCCATGCCTGGCTAATTTTTGTATTTTTTGTAGAGGCAGAGTTTTACCATGTTGCTCAGGCTGGTCTGAAACTCCTGGCCTCAAGCGATTATCCCACCTCAGCCTCCCAAAATGCTGAAATTATAGGGATGAGCCACCACCCCTGGCCCAATAAACTGGCCTTGAATTTGTTGATAAAATAAAAACAGAAATTTTTTCAAATTGTCAATCAATAGATGAATGAAAATGTCATGTATATAAATACACATGAATATATCTATATACATGTATATAAATACACATGAATATATCTATATGCATGTATATAAATACACATGAATATATCTATATGCATGTATATAAATATACATGAATATATCTATATACATGTATACAGATATACATGAATGAAAGAAAATGTCATGTATATAGATATACTCAATGGAATCTAATTCAGCCATTAATAAAGAGTAAAATCCTGTAATTTGCAGCAACATAGGTGGAACTGCAGGTCATTATGCTAAGTGAAATAAGCCAGGCACAGAAAAACAAATATAGCACGTTCTCATTCATATACGAAAGCAAAAAAATTGGCTCTCATGGAGGTAGAGAGTAAAATGGTTACCAGAGGCTAGGAAGAAAAGTGGGGAGGGAGGCATGAAGAGAGGTTGGTTAAGGGTACAAAATACAGTTAGATAGAAGGAATAAGTTCTAGTATTCAGTAGTACAGAAGGGAAATTATAGTTAACAATAATTTATTCTGTATTTCAAAATAGCTAGAAAAGAAAATTTGTACTATTTCCAACACAAACAAAAGATGAATGTTTGAGGTGATGGATATCCCAGGTACCCTGATTTGATCATTACACATTGTATACAGGTATCAAAATACCACATGTACCCCAAAAATGTGACAACTATTATACATCAATTTTTTTTTATTTTAAAAACAGGTTTCGGCTGGGTGTGGTGGCTCATGCCTGTAATCCCAACATTTTGGGAGGCCAAGGTGAGTGGATTACATGAGCTCAGGAGTTCGAGACCAGCCTGGGCAATGTAAGGAGACATTTTGGGAGGCCAAGGTGAGTGGATTGCATGAGCTCAGGAGTTCGAGACCAGCCTGTGCAATGTAGGGAGACCTTGTCTCTACTAAAAATAAAATAAAATAAAAAATCAGCTGGGTGTGGTGGCACATTCCTGTAATCCCAGCTACTCAGGAGGCAGAGGTGGGAGGATGGCTTGAGCACAGGAGGTGAGGTTGCAGTGAGCCATGATCGCACCACTCTGCTCTCCAGCCTGGGCGATAGAACCAGATCTTGTCTTCAAAAAAGAAAAAACAAGGAGGAAAGAAGAAGGAAGAAGAATACAGAAGGAGGAAGAGGAAAGAAGAAGGAAGAAGAATACAGAAGGAGGAGGAGGAGGAAGAGGAAGAAGAAGAAGAACAGGAAGAAGAAGAAGGAGGAGGAGGAGGAGGAGCGGGAGCAGGAGGGGGAGCGAGAGGGAAAGGGGGAGGGGAGAGAGGAAGAGAAAGAAGGAGAAGGAGAAGAAGAAAAGGAAGGAAGGAAGGAAACAAGGAAGGAAGGAAAGAAGGAAGGAAGGAGCAGGAATGAAGGAAAGGAGGGAGGGAACAAGGAAGGAAAGAAGGAAGAAAGGAGAAGAATGAGGAGGAAGGAAAAAGAAGAAGAATTAAAATACAGATTTTAATAACTAAAGTTGATTAATTAATTTTTTTAGAATTCTAATGAAGAAACTGCTGAATTCATGAAACTACTCATCAAGATCAAGCAGAACAAAAATTACATGACATTAAGTAACTGCTGAAGATAATGTTTTTATGACTTTAATTTGAAAGATTTTTGACTCCTAAGTGTTTTGTTTTCCAAATTTAAGGTAACTTTTTTCTTAAGCTATCTATAGTTTAAAGCAATACGGTAAAGCATACTTTTGAGAACAAAGGTGGAAATATTTACTTTTTCTTCTTACTTGATCCCTCCAAAATTTGGAAACTCTTCATGAGTATTCTTATGGCTGTATGGTTATTTGGATAAGTTCAGTAAAAATCTACTTTCTCTTTATAACAGAATACAATTGGAAGCATTGGCTATATTACCAAGGCATTGACTGGAATATCATATTTGAGAACGTGCATAGAATGCCTGGTTTCAAGGGTTTCCAGCCTTATAGTGAGTGAGTAAATATTGTCACTTCCTGGCAGGCCCCAAAAACCTTAAGATGGTAGGTAAAACCTAAAATCTACCTTGGTTTGACTTCCTAGCCTCAAAAGGTTTTAAATCTGAGATTTTCATGTGATCAATATAGAGATAAAAACTTATGTTTCTAAAGAAAAGCTATAATATATGTGTTATTAGACTGTAGCCTTGTGCATTGTTTTTGAGTCCTTGCTATCTACCTACAGACTAGACTATATCCTGAATTCTTCTAGAGTCCTCCAATTCAACTTTCTCCCATGGAATTACTAAAAATGAGACCTCTTTTGTTCTGAAGCCCTGAAAACTAAAACTAGATGAATTTTAAGGGATAAGTTTCATGACTGATGGATGTGTCACACAGAAAGTTAAACAAACCACCTGATGCCATAGCCAGGGACATTGAAACTGCAAACCAGGATAAGAAGTTAATGTCTTCATTCCTCAGACAGCTTTTCCCAAGACCTCAGAACAACCCTCCATATCATAATGAGACTCTTACCTCTCTTAATGCCCACCTTTTTCACTTGGCAAGATAATGGTGACATTAAAAGTTAACAATCAGAACCTTCTGCTGGTAACTTGACAGAACCTATCCTAGAACATCCTTTTTTTCTTTTCTTTTCTTTTTTTTTAGAGATGGGTCCTAATCTGTGATGCAATCATAGCTCCCTTCAGCCTCAAATTCCTGTGCTTAAGCAGTCCTCCCATCTCAGCCTCCCAAGTAGCTAGAACTACAGGCACATACCACTATGCTCAATTTATTTTTTTACTTTTTGTAGAGACAGGATCTCACTATATTGCCCAGGCTGGTCTTGAACTCCTGACCTCAAGTGATCCTCCTGCCTTGGGATCCCAAAGAGTTAGGAATATAGGCATGAACCACCACACCCAAGCAAGGAGATCCTTTAGTCCACCTAGTAGATGACTTTGGCATCATCCCCAGTACAATGATTGATCACTCTCTGCTTTCATTAAATCCAGTCATAAGATATTAGATGACAAAATTGCTCAATATTAACTATTGGCTAATAAGGAGATGTCTGTAGCTATTGCTAATACTACATGCTGTACCTGGGTATATTCCTCTGGGAAAGTTGAGATCCATAAACACAAAAGGAGAAAACAGGCCACATGGTTACAAGTCTTACTTAATTTCCCACAGTAGGATTTCCCACAATCCTACTACTTGATTTATTCAAGTAGTAGCCTTTAAGCCTAGTCCATGACTCAAAACTTTTATACAAACTAAGCTTATTAATTTACTTTGCATTTTCCCTTTTTAAAACCTTATACCTATTGCTTGTTAAGTTTTTGGAGAAGTATGACTCCTGATAGAATAATACTGGCCACGCACTTTGAGATGATAACAAAGACCTATGGAACTGACAAAATTAACTTAACAATGGATTCCAGGTAGCCTTAGCCTGAAAGCCACTCCCTCCTAAGCTCCCTTGTTGCTCAAATGTGGCTAAAAATGTTCTGATACTGACTCCTACTTGCCAACCACTTCCCTCAAACATGGGAAGACCAGACCAAACCAGGACTGGTCTATCCCAGGACTGAAGGACAATCAAACCCTAACTACAGGATGATTCATCAGTGACGCTTTGGAGAAAGATCCTGATCCAAAGGGGGAAATGTGAAAGTTGTCAGAATCAAAATGGAGTCACTAGTGTTAAAAACTAAAAAAATAGACTTGGGGAAAGCCATGAAGACAGAATTCTCACGCACTAAGCCCTCATAACAAGAACTATCACAAAAGGCTCTGAAAAAAACCCACAAATTTGCAGAAAGGTTATCACAACCCTACACACAAAAAATACTTTTGTAAGAACATCTGCCCAGCAACTGCCCTTCCAACCTCAGATTGGCACCACCCTTTGTATTGATCCTTGTAGCCAAAACTAATTATCACAAAACAATTATACAATTGTCATTTTTCCTTTAAAAATCTTTGTCTTCCTTTACCTCTCTGAATATATACATAGTTTACTATGGTATGTATATTTCCATTGCAAAGCCCCATTCCTAAATAAATGTTTTCTTTTAGAGAGTCCCCTCTATTGGTTTTTTAAGTAGACAATAGTGTACTTAAAACACTCTCATACATAATACACCTCTACTCAAGTTTACAAGAAGTAACAATCAATTTTCTATGTGTACATTTACATGTATATTACAGCTTAAATAATATTCAGAAGCATCCACAAACCTACAACTATGATTACTGCTAGGAGGAAGTAAGAGATTATGGCTGTGGTGCTAGTCAAAGAAAAGTTTCATCATTTCTGTGAAGTTTCAATCTGGGGAAAGAAGCATTGTTCATGTATTATTTGTGTAATTCATACTAAGTGTAAAATAATCAATGTGTGTGGGGTTTACTTCTATTTTTGAAAGTGATTATTATTTCAATAGTTTTGGGGGAACAGGTAGTGCTTGGTTACTTGGATAAGTTCTTTAGGTGTGATTTCTGAGATTTTGGTGCACCCATCACCTGAGCAGTGTACACTGTGCCCAATGTGTAGTCTTTTATTCCTCACCCCCACCTCACACACTTTTCCTAGGGCCCCCAGAGTTCATTATATCATACTTATGCCATTGCATCCTCATAGCTTATTTCTCACTTATAAGTGAGAACATTCGTTGTTTGGGTTTCCATTCTTGAGTTACTTCACTTATAATAATGGTCTCCAATTCCAACCATGTTGCTGCAAATAGCATTATTTCATTCCTTTGTAAAATAGCTGAGTAGTATTCCACAGTTTCTGTATCCACTCTTTGGTTGATAGGCATTTAGGCTGCTTCCATAATTTTGCATTGTGAATTGTGCTGTTATAAACATGCGTGTGCAAGTGACTTTTTCATATAGTGACTTGTTTTCCTCTGGTTAGATACCCAGTAGTGAGATTGCTGGATCAAATTGTAGTTCTACTTTTAGTTCCTTAAGTAATCTCCACACTGTTTTTTATAGTGGTTGTACTAGTTTACATTCCCACCATCAGTGTAAAACTGTTCCCTTTTCACCATATCCATGCCAATATCTATTATTTTTTGATTTTTTAATTATGGCCATTCTTGTGGGAATAAAGTGGTATCACACTGTGGTTTTGATTTGCATTTCCCTGATTATTAGTGATATTGAGCATTTTTTCATATGTTTGTTGGACATTTGAATATCTTCTTTTGAGAATTGTCTATTCATGTTCTTTGCCCACTTTTTGATGGGATTATTTGTTTTTTTTCTTGCTGATTTGTTTGAGTTCCTTGTAGATTCTGGGTATTAGTCCTTTGTCGGATGCATAGTTTGCAAATATTTTCTCCTACTCTGCGGGTTGTCTGTTTACTCTGCTGAATATTTCTTTTGTTGTGCAGAAGCTTTTTAGTTTAATTAAGACACATCTATTTATCTTTGGGTTTTGTTTTTTGTTGTTGTTTTTTTTTTGTTTTGTTTTTGTTTTTGTTTTGCATTTGCTTTTGGGTTCTTGGTCATGAACTCTTTGCCTAAGCCAATGTCTAGAAGAATTTTTCCAATGTTGTCTTCTAGAATTTTTATGGTTTCAGGTCTTAGATTTAAGTTTTTGATCCATCTTAAGTTTATTTTTGTATAAGGTGAGAGATGAGGATCCAGTTTCATTCTTCTACATGTGGCTTGCCAATTATCCCAGCACTGTTTCTTGAATAATGTGTCCTCTGCCCATTTTATGTTTTTGTTTACTTTGCCAAAGATCAGTTGGCTGCAAGTATTTGGCTTTATTTCTGGGTTCTCTATTCTGTTCCATTGGTCTACATGCCTGTTTTTATAACAGTACCATGCTATTTTGGTGACTATAAACTTGTAGCATAGTTTGAAGTCGGGTAATGTGATGTCTCCAGATTTGTTCTTTTTATTTAGTCTTGCTTTGGATATGTGGGCTCTTTTTTGGTTCCATATGAATTTTAGGATTATTTTTTTCTGGTTCTTTAAAGAATGATGATGGTATTTGATGGCAATTGCATTGAATTTATACATTGCTTTTGGCAGTATGGTCATTTTCACAATATTGATTCTACCCGTCAGTGAGCATGGAATGTGTTTCCATTTGTTTGTGTCGTCTGTGAATTCTTTCAGCAGTGTTTTATGGTTTTCTTCGTAAAGATCTTTCACCTCTTTTGTTAGGTATATTCCTAAGGGTTTTTTTGTTGTTGTTGTTTGTTTGTTTTTTGTTTGTTTGTTTGTTTGCAGCTACTGTAAAAGGGGTTGCATTCTTGATTTTTCAGATTGGTCACTGTTGGTGTATAGCAGTACTACTGATTTGTGTACATGATATTTTTATCCTGAAATTTTACTGAATTCATTTACCAGATCCAGGAGCTTTTTGGATGGGTCTTTAGGGTTTTCTAGCTATGCAATCATATCACTGGCAAACAGTGACAGTTTGACTTTCTCTTTACCAGTTAGGATGCTTTTATTTCTTTCTTTTGTCTGATTGCTCTGGCTAGGACTTCCAGTACTATGCTAAATAGAAGTGGTGAAAGTGAGCATCCATGTTTTGTTCCAGTTCTCAGGGGAAATACTGTCAACTTTTCCCCATTTGTTATAAAGTTGTCTGTGAGTATGTCATAGATGGCTTTTATTACCTTAAGGTATGTCCCTTCTTTGCTGATTTTGCTGAGAGTTTTAATCATAAAGGGATGCTGGATTTTGTCAAATGCTTTTTCTGCATCTATTAAGATAATCATATTTTTGTTTTTACTTCTATTTATGTGGTGTATCATATTTATTGACTTGAATACCTGAATACCCGGTATGAAACCCACTTGAACATGGTGTATTATCTTTTTTTTTTTTTTTTTTTTTTTTGAGACGGAGTCTTGCTCTGTCGCCCAGGCTGGAGTGCAGTGGTGCAATCTCGGCTCACTGCAAGCTCCGCCTCCCGGGTTCACGCCATTCTCCTGCCTCAGCTTCGCGAGTAGCTGAGACTACAGGGGCCGGCCACCGCGCCCGGCTAACTTTTTGTATTTTTAGTAGAGACAGGGTTTCACCGTGTTAGCCAGGATGGTCTCAATCTCCTGACCTCGTGATCTGCCCTTCTCGGCCTCCCAAAGTGCTGGGATTACAGGCATGAGCTACCGCACCCGGCCTATTATCTTTTTGATATGCTGTTGGATTCGGTTAGCTAGTATTTTGTTGAGGATTTTTGCATCTCTGTCCATCAAGGATATTGGTCTATAGTTTTCTTATTTACTTAGGTCCTTTCTTAGTTTTAATATTAGGGTAATACTGGGTTCATAGAATGATTTGGGGAGGATTGCCTCTATCTGTATCTATTTACGCTTTAAGGAAGTTCCATTTTGGTGTATTTTGAGGTTTTATTTCAAGATTTAGAACTTTATCTTTTGGAATAGTTTCAGTAGGATTGGTACCAGTTCTTCTTTGAATGTCTGACAGAATTCAGCTGTGAATCCATCTGGTCCTGAACATTTTTTTTGTTGGCTTTTTAAAATTACTGTTTCAATCTTGTTACTTGTTATTGCTCTGTTCAGAGTTCCTATTTCTTCCTGTTTTTTGTTTGTTTTTTGGTTTTGGGTTTTGTTTTGTTTTGTTTTTTGAACAGAGTCTTGCTCTGTCACCCAGACTGGAGTACAGTGGTGCAGTCTTGGCTCACTGCAACCTTCACCTCCCAGGTTAAAGCGATTTTCCTGCCTCAGCCAGCCGAACAGCTGGGATTACAGGCATGCTCCACTATACCCGGCTAACCTTTGTATTTTTAGGAGAGACAGGGTTTTGCCATGTTGGCCAGGCTTGCCTCGAAATCCTGGCCTCAAGTGATCTGCCCGCCTTGGCCTCTCAAAGTGCTGAGATTACAGGCATGAGCCACCACACCTGGCCTCTTTCTGGCTTAATCTAGGAGGTTTGTATATTTCCGGGAATTTATCCATTTCCTCTAGGTTTTCCAATTTGTGCACATAAAGGTGTTCATAGTAGCCTTGAATGATCTTTTGTAATTCTGTGGTATCGGTTGTAATATCTCCCATTTCATTTCTAATTCAATTTATTTGGATCTTCTCTCTTCTTTTCTTGGTTAATCTCACTAACGGTCTATTGATTTTGTATATCTTTTCAAAAACCAGCTTTTTGTTTCATTTATCTTTTGTATTTTTTTGGTTTCAATTTCATTTAGTTCTGCTCTGATCTTTGTTTTTTTTTTTTTCTTCTGCTGGGCTTGGGTTTGGTTTGTTCTTGTTTCTCTAGTTCTTTGAGATGTGAGCTTAGATTGTCTATTTGTGCTCTTTTAGACTTTTTAACGTAGGCATTTAATGTTATGAACTTTCCTCTTAGCATCACTTTTTCTGTATCTCAGAGGTTTTGATAGGCTGTGTCACTATTATTGTTCAGTTCAAATAATTTTTTAATTTACATCTTGATTTCATTGTTGACCCAAACATCATTCAGGAGCAGATTATTTCATTTCCATGTATTTGTATAGTTTTGAGGGTTCCTTTTGGAGTTAGTTTCCAATTTTATTCCACTGTGGTCTGAGAGTGTACTTGATATAATTTCGATTTTTTTAATTTACTGAGACTTGTTTTGCAGCCTATCATATGGCATCTCTTGGAGAATGTTCCATGTGCTGAAGAGAAGAATGTATATTCTGCAGCTGTTGGGTAGAATGTTCTATAAATATCTGTTAAGTCCATTTATTCTAGGGTATAGTTTAAGTCCACTGTTTCTTTGTTGACTTTCTGTCTTGATTATTTGTCTAGTGCTTTCAGTGGAGTATCGAAGTCCTCCACTATTATTGTGTTGGCATCTATCTTATTTCTTACGTCTAGTAGTAATTGTTTTATAAACTTGAAAGCCCCAATGTTATGTGCATATATATTAAGGAATGTGATATTTTCCTGTTGGACTAATCCTTTTATCATTATATAATGTCCCTCTGCGTCTTTTTAAACTGTTGTTGTTTTTAACAGACTTTAAGTCTGTTTTGTCTAATAATAGCTACTCCTGATGACTTGTGGTTTCCATTTGCACGGAATATATTTTTCCACCCCTTTACCTTAAGTTTATGTGAGTCCTTATGTATTAGGTGAGTCTCTTGAAGACAGCAGATATTTGGTTGGTGAATTCTTATCCATTCTGCCATTCAGCATCTTTTAAGTGGAGCATTTAGGCCATCGTTAGTATTGAAATGTGAGGTAATGTTCTATTCATCATGCTAGTTGTTGCCTGAATACCTCATTTTGTGTGTGTGTGTGTTATTGTTTTGTACGTCTTGTGAGATTTATGCTTTAAAGAAGTTCCATTTTGGGGTATTTTGAGGTTTTATTTCAAGATTTAGTACTCCCTTTAGCATTTCTTGTAGTACTGGCTTGATAGAGGCAAATTCTCTCAGGATTTGTTTGACTGAAAAAGACTGTATCTTTCCTTCATTTATGAAGCTTAGTTTAGCTGGATACAAAATTCCTAGCTAATAATTATTTTGTTTAAGGAGGCTAAAGATAGGACCCCAATCTCTTCTAGTTTGCAGGGTTTCTGATGAGAAATCTGCTGTTAATCTGACAGGTTTTCCTTTATAAGTTACCTGATGCTTTTGCCTCACAGCTCTTAAGATTCTTTTCTTTATTCTGACTTTAGGTAACCTGATGACTATGTGCCTAGGTTATAATCTTTCTGCAATGAATTTCCTGGGTGTTCTTTAAGCTTCTTATATTTGGATGTCTAGATCTCTAGCAAAACCAGGGAAGTTTTCCTCGATTATTCCCTCAAATAAGCTTTCCAAACTTTTAGATTTATCTTCTTCCGTGGAACACCAATTATTCTTATGTTTGGTTGTTTAACATAATCCCAAATTTTTTGGAGGCTTTGTTCAATTTTTTTGCTTTTTCTTTGTCATTGTTGAATTGAATTAACTTGAAAGCCTTGTCTTCAAGTTCTGAAGTTCTTTCTTCTACTTGTTTGATTCTATTGTTGAAATTTTCCAGTGTATTTTGCATTTCTCTAAGGGTGTCTTTCATTTCCGTAAGTTGTGATTGTCTGTTCTTTATGATATCTGTTTCACTGGAGGCTTTTTCATCCATATCCTGTATTTTTTTTTAATTTCTTTAAGTTGGTTTTCATCTCTCTCTAGTGCCTCCTTGAGTAGCTTAATAATCAATCTTCTGAACTTTTTATCTGGCAATTCAGAGATTTCTTCTTGGTTTGAAGCCATAGCTGGAGAGCTAATGCGATCTTTTGGGGGTGTGATAGAATCTCGTTTTGTCATATGAACAGTTACTTTTTGGCTCCTTCTTATTTGGATAGACTTTTTCAGTGGAAGATTCTGGAACTCAAGGGCTGCTGTTCAGATTCTTTCATCCCACATGGTGATCCCTTGATGTGGTGCTCTCCCCCTTCCCCTAGGGATGGGGTTTCCTGACAGCCAGACTGCAGTGATTGTTATTGCCCTTCGGGGTCTAGTCACCCAATGGGGCTACTGGATTCCTGGCTCATGCTGGAAAATGTCTGCAAAGAGTCATGTGATGTGATCCATCTTCAGCTCTCCCAGCCATACATACCAGCACCCGGTCTGGTGGAGGTGGCAAGGGAATGAAGTGGACTCTGTGAAAGTCCTTTGTTGTAATTTTGTTTAGTGTACTTGTTTTCTCAAATGCTGGTTATGCTAGCAGTGAAGCTTTCATGTGGACAGGCTCAGGACCTCTGGTTAGCCAGGTTGTTGCAGGCAGTGGAATTAGCTGTTGTTTTCTCCTTCTTTGGAGCAGGGTTGTTCTGACTTGCTGTAATGTATTGAGTTGGTTGGCCTCCAGCCAGGAGATGGTGCTTTCAAGACAGCATCTAGTAGAAGGGGGATATAATCTTACCCTATGTTGGCCAGAATGAGTACTTGGGTTTCTCAGGCAATGGGTAGGGCCATAGAGCATAGAGCTCCCAAGAGTTTTTGTCTTTTGTCTTCAGCTACCAGGGCAGGTAGAGAAAAGCCATCAGGTCAGGGCAGGGTTAGGTGGGTCTGAGCTCAGATTCTTTCTGGGTGAGGCTTGTTGTGGCCACTGTCGGGGATGGGGGTGGTTCTCAGGCCAATGGGGTTATGTTCCCAGGGGGATTATGGCTGCCTCTGCTGCATCATACAGGCCACCAGGGAGGTAGGGGAAAGCTAGCAGTGACAGACATCACCCAGCTCCTATGCAGCCACTAAGGCCAGTCTCACTCCCACTATGCCCCCCAACCACACTGAGTTTATATATAGGCAGCTGGTGGGCAGGGCTGAGATCTTGCCCCAGGCTACAATCCTCCCCACTGAGAAAGCACACAGGGCTCTCAGGCTTTGCTGCTTCCTGCCTGCCCACGCCATCAGCTGTGGCTTGTATACTTGTATCGGCACTTCCCATTCACCATCCCCCTACCACCACCAATTGTGGTCAGGAAAATTTGTGCTCAGTTGAAATTATTACAAAGTTCAGCTGGGAGCTTCCTTCACCCTGTGGTCCCTCCCCAGTTCTGCTGGCTGCCTTCCCTTCCCCAAGGACCTCTGTGAGATTAGGCCAGGAATGGCTTCCCTGGGTTGAGCTGGGGACTGGGAGTGCCTACAGGGCTCTTCACACTGCTTCTTCTACTTTTATATTTCACCTGGGTCCCTAAATCCATTTCAGCTCTAGGTAAGGTTAACTCCTTTTCCCATGATCTAGATTTTCAGGTTCCCCAGTGGGGTGTGTGTTCAGAGTCTGACTTATCCCTCTATCACACTTTGGAAACTCAGTTTTTTGGCTGTCTTGTGGCATTTTTCTCATTATGTGTTTTGATGGCAATTAAAGAGTCACTCCTTGAAAGTAGGTGTCAAGAATGATGGGTTTGTACTTCCCAGAAAGCCCAGACATGTAAAACATAATACTGTTTGCCTATTAGGCTCTAGTATAAGCTTGTTAAATGAATGATGAAACGAGGTTGGAGCTAGAATATGAACTACCTTAATTTTCATGTTCAAGAGTTGGTAGTTTATTTGGCAGGGCAGATAAATTAAATGAGATGATACGTTTAACACAGTTCCTATTGATACATTTTAGCTTTTATGATTAATAGTGCATTTCAATTCTATCCCGCTTCATAACCAGAAGATGGAGCTCCAAACATTTAAACTTAAAAAAAAAAATTCTCCTGTTTTGTTGTATTCTTGGTAGAGGCTGTGCTCTTATTTCGTTGGTTCTGGTTCTTTTTGTTCCCCACCTAAATCCTTCCATTCTAATTTTGTTCTCAGGTTATCAAAATCCATTTGCTGACTACAGATAGGAGGAGTGATCTGTGTGAGAAGCTACACATAGATCCTCTTTTTCTACCTCTGGGGACTTATTTGATTCATGCACCTGTTCATACATATTTTTATCCAACTCTCCCCACTTTGTTCCTCCCTCTTCACATGGAAAAGCCATTGTGACTTACAGTTGTTACAGCAACTGTAAACAGGTGCTGACATTCTATGCATCCTCATGGGAGGAAAAATGCCAGCACTACCACACACAGAATTTGTTGCTATATGCAGGAAAAAGCATGTGACAGGGCTAGAAATACATTTTTTTGGACTGTTCTCCAGTTTGTGTCCTTTTGCAACATAAGTTCCTTAGACATCTAAAGACTCATGGGAAATAATTAATTTCTAATTTTTCATATCATTCATTCTACTACACTTATATTGATATTATTAATACCTTTATTATTATTACCTTTATGTTTATTAATAGGTATATCTCTAGCTATTTATTCAATATTCACTCTTTCATTCACTTTTTTTCAATAAATATTTATTGAGCAGCACAGCAGCATTACAGGAGGGTTATGGATTTGTGGAACACACTGACCCCCATCCCCAATCCCTGCCATACACATATCCTCCTACTATAAGTCTTTAATAGAGCTATCCAAGAATACATCTGGCTACAAATACCTGGCTAAGAGTTCCAGGAGTGCTTTAAGCAGGAGCAACAGCACTGCCTATTCAAATTTATCTCTTGCCCTTTATTCCCCATACCAAAGGCAAAACCATCAGAGATTCTGGTAAGTTTCCACTGTGGTAAAGTTCTGCAAGAGTTAAGGGGAAATTTTCTTGCTTCATCACTTCTCTGTTATACTCGGATTTACATCACCATTGTGAAATTACACTAATATATACACCACTGTTCAAGGGAACATTTATATACATTTGGCTCTTCCGTTTCTTGATCCAAATTCAGCTTCAGGAGATACATGTCTTCACCCTGGATCAACCACCTGGCATTCCAGCAAAATCTACCCCTACTTTCCAGAGTCCTTTAAAGGCAATCATATGTCTGTATTTACCAAATCTCTCAAAGGCTCTAAATCTATATCTCTAAATATCCGATGGTTATTTCATCTGGCAAATTCAAAAATGTTTACATTGAACTCATTTTCTTTCTCTATCTACGCTTGGCTTAGATGTTTGTCCCCTCCAAACCTCATGTTGGAATCTGATCACCAATGTTGGAGGTGGGGCCTAATGGGAGGTGTTTGGGTCATGGGAGTGGATCCTACATGAACAGATTAATATCCTCCTTCAAGGGTGAGTGAGTTCCCATTCCATTAGTTCCCAAGAGAGCTGGTTGTTAAAAAGAGCCTGCCGCTTTTCCCACCCTTTCTCTTGCTTCCTCTTTTGCAATGTGATCGTTGCACGTACAAGCTCCCCTTCACCTTCCACCATGAAGTAGAAGGAGACTGAGGCTCTCATCATGCAGATGCCCAATCTTGAACTTTACAGCCATCAGAATCATAAGAAAAATAAACCTTTTTCTCTATAAATTACCTAGTGTCAGATATTCTGTTATGGTAACACAAAATTGACCAAGATAATCCCTTTACTCTCTAACTCTCCTCCTAGCTTTCTGGATATCATTTTTATGCAATCACCTACTTAGTAATCTAAATTAAAAATCTTGAAGTAATCACTTGATTTCACTTCTACCTTACCTTCCACATCCAGTCAGCAAGTCCTGTACATTCTACCTCCACAGTGTGCCCTCAATTCAGTTCTTGCACATGTATTTGTCAGAAAGTTTCTTCTCCCACAATAATTTCAGTAGTCTCCTAGTTATCTCCATTGTCTTCCTTCTCAAGTCTTCTAAAGAGTCTACATTAACACCATACTAGGGTTGCCAGGTAAGATACAGGGTTTCCCGTATATTTGTTTGTTAAATCTGGCAGCTTTGCACATATTCATCTTCCTAAACATGTTTCTGGTCATGTAACACTGCCATTTACACTCTCTCTCCCCTTTCTATTACTGAATTAGTTTTTTTTAAGTTGTTGTTGTTGTTCTTGCTTCTGCTGCTGTTGTTTTAGTTTCCTATCCATTAGATAATTAACCCTACATTAGCCTATCACTCAACAAATATTTAAATTAGGTTGGTGCAAAAAAAAAAAAAAGCCCGCAATGACTTTTGCACCAACCTAATATCTGGTACCTGCCATATATGAAACACTCAGGTTTGTGTTGTGGAGTATGCAAAAATAATTTATAGTCTCTATTCTTCAGGCGTTAGCAAGCTGAATAATTATCATTGACATAAAGAAACACAAGCAGTCCAGGCATGATGGCTCATGCCTGTAAACCCAGCACTTTGGGAGGCTGACACGGGCAGATCGCTTGAGCTCGAGTTCGAGACCAGCCTGGGCAACATGGCGAAACCCCGTCTCCACCAAAAATACAAAAAATTAGCCAGGAGTGGTGGTGCCCTCCTGTTGTCCCAACTACTTGGGAGGCTGAGGTGGGAGGGTGGCTGGAGCCCTGGAGGCAGAGGCTGCAGTGAGCCAAGATCATGCCACTGACTCCAGCCTGGGTGACAGAGTGAGACCCCATCTCAATTAAAAAATAAAATAAGAAAAAGAAAACGAAACACAAGCAAATACAGAGTGCTAAAATTCAATTTAGACTAGAGGGATGAGAGTGAGGAGGTTCCCAGGTTTGTATTCACGTTACCTAGATTTTAATTTGACCTAAGGCCAGCGAAAACTTTTTTTAACCCCACCCACACCCTAGTCTTAAAAACCAGTCACTGAAACAAGTGAACTTCTCCACCTCTACCCTTGACCTGGAACAAAGTTATTCCTGGCTAACAAAGCTTTTCCCTCACTGTACAAAGTAGAAGACAGCAAGTTGTCTTTATTCAGTTTCATAACGGAGAAAAGTGAGTATAAAGGTTGTACAATATAAACACAGAATCTTAAATCACTAGAGGAGCCAGGAATGGAGCTCAACACTTACGAGTATTCTTTCTGAAGTAAGTTAGTCTCTGAACAAGCACCTAATCTTCAATGAATAAACCAATTTTATGTGAATAAACAAAATATAGGGAATAAGCAAAACGTAAGACAATATAGGAATAGCTGTTTCAAAGTTTCAAAATTACAAAGCAAAAATCTGAAGATTTTTCTGAACATCTGCTTCTGGGGAATTTCAAACACTAAAATGAGATTCACTGGGTCACAGAGAAATGATGATGTCTACTGTATGGCAATAGCTTTCAAAAGATAACCCTGGTATTTTGTTGAGGATTTTTGCATCTCTCTTCATTATAGATATTGCCCTGCAGCTTTCTTTTTTCATGTGTCTTTCCCAGATTTTGGTATCAGGGTGATGCTGGCTTCACAGAGTAAGATAGGAAGAGTCCCTCCTTCTCAATGTTTTTGGAATAGTTTCAGTAGAATTGGTACCAGCTATTCTTTGTACATCTGGTAGATTTCGGCTGTAAATCCATCTTATCCAGGGATTTTAGGGGGATGGTAGGTTTTTTTATTACTAATTTTGGAACTTGATATTGGTCTCTTCAGGGTTCAATTTCTTCCTGATTCAGTCCAGAGAGGTCATGTGTTTCATTTCCAGGAGTGTATTCATTTCCCTCTAGATTTTCTAGCTTGTGCGCCTAGAGGTGTTCATAATAGTCTCTGATGATCTTTTGTACTTCTGTGGGATCAGTTATGATGTCACATTTGTCATTTCTGATCATGCTTATTTGAACCTTCTCTTTTCTTTGTTAATCTAATTAGTGGTCTATTGATTCTATTGATCTTGTTCATCCTTTCAAAGAGGCAACTTTTGGTTTTGGTGATACTTTATATAGATTTTAGGTTCCCAATTTCCTGGACTTTGGCTCCAATTTTAGTTATTTCCTTTCTTCTGCTAGCTTTTAGGTTAGTTTTTTTCTAGTTCCTTTACATGTGATGTTAGATCATTAATTTGAGATCTTTCTAACTTCTTAATGTAGACATTTAGTGTGATAAACTTTCCTCTTAATGCTGCTTTTGCTGCATCCCAGAGATTTTAGTATACTGTATCTCTATTTTCAAAGAATTTTTTGATTTCTGCCTTGATTTCTTTGTTTACCCAAAAGTCATTCAGAAGCAAATTGTTTAATGTCCATAAAACTGTGTGCTTTTGAAAAATATTTTTGGTATTGAATTATATTTTTATTCCACTCTGGGCCAAGAGATGGTTAGCATTATTTCAACTTTTTTGAATTTATTAAGACTTGCTTTATGGCCAAGCATGTGGTCAATCTTGGAGTAGGTTCCCCATTAAAAAGCAGGCAAAAGTGGCTGGGCACAGTAGCTCATGCCTATAGTCCCAGCATTTTTGGAGGCTGAGGCAAGAGGATAGCTTGAGCTCAGGCATTTGAGACCAGTCTGGGCAACCTAGTAAGACCTTGTCGCTACTAAAAGTTAAAAATAAAAGTTAGCCAGGCATTGTGGCACAACTGTGGTCTCAGCTACTCAAGAGGCTGAGATGGGAGGATCACTTGAGCCTGGGAGGTCGAGGCCGCAGGGAGCTGTAATCGTCCCACTGTACTCCAGCCTGAGCAACAGAGTGAGACACTGTTGCCAAAAAAAAAAAAAAAAAAAAAAAAAAAAGTAGGCAAAGGACATGAACAGATACTTTTCAAAAGAAGACATATAAATGGCCAAGAAACATGAAAAACATGCTCCACACCATTAATCATCAGAGAAATGCAAATCAAAACTACAATGAGATACCATCTCACACCAGTCAGCATGCCAATTATTAAAAAGTAAAAAAACAACAGATGCTGGTGAGGCTGTGGAGAAAAGGGAATGCTTATACACTGTTGGTGGGAATGCAAATTAGTTCAGCCACTATGGAAAGCAGTTTGGAGATTTCTCAAAGCACTTAAAACAGAACTACTATTCGACCTGGCAATCCCATTACTGGGTATATAGCCAGAGGAAAATAAATCATTCTACCAAAAAGACACATGCACTTGTGTGTTCATCACAGCACTATTCACAATAACAAAGACATGGAATTAACCTAGGTGCCCATCAACAGTGGACTGGATAAAGAAAATATACACCATGAAATACTATGCAGCATAAAAAAGAATGAAATCATGTCCTTTGTAGCAACATGGATGCAGCTGGAGGCCATTATCCTAAGTGAATTAACACAGGAACAGAAAATCAAATACCATATGTTTTCACTTATAAATGGGTGCTAAACCTCTGGTACCCAAGGACATAAAGATGGGAACAATAGACTCGGGTCTATTAGAAGGGGGAGCGAGGGAGGGGACAAGGACTGAAATACTACCTATTAGGTATTATGCTCACTACCTCGGTGATGGGATCATTCGTACCCCAAACCTTAGCACCACACAATATGCTCATGTAACAAACCTGTGCTTGTGCCCTCTGAATCTATAATAAAACAAAAGTTGATACTATTTTAAAAACACACAGAGAGAAAAGGAAACTTTGGAAAAGAAATGTAACCATAGAATGTGGAAATATATCTAACCCATATATTTCTTGCATATGTTCATCAATGCTATAGAACTGATATAGAACTAGATGACTATTGGAAGTTTTAATATAAAGCAATTCCATGATATTTTCAGAAAAAAAAAACAACATAAAAATTGCATAGTTGAGGGAGAGGACCAGAAAAGAAAACTTATCTTTTACTTTTATCCTTCTATATATTTTGAATTCCGTGATATGGCACATATAATTATTTTTAAACCTTTAAATAAAATATTTTAAGTCTACTAAGGCATCTCAACTCATTATGAACATACAATATTTTGAGGGGGTTCTTTGTTTGTTTATTGGCCTCACTATGTTGCCCAGGCTCAAGTGCTACAGCTATTCACAGGAGTGATCATAGCACACTGAGACCTCAAACTCCTGGCCTCAGGTGATCCTTCTGCTTCAGCCTCCCAAGTAGCTGGGCCTAGAGGCATGTACCACCACACCCAACTTAGACACACAGTGGTTTTATTTTTCCAGTAAATGCCCCAAACTTTCCTGGTGAACGGTAACCCCCCAAATATATCTTGCCTAATTTTGTGCTTTTCAGTCTAATTTGGTTATTAGAACACTCTCATTCAGATATTTCAGACTTAGTCCTATTCATTTAAACACTTCGATTTTATATTCAATCATAACTCTACATGTCCCATTACCCAGAAGAGGTTAGACCTTCAGTTTTAGATTGAAAGTTTTGGGAATTTGGTGGGGTGGGGGAAGTAGGGTTGGGTGAAGGGAAGAGTTCTAACTCTCTGTCACCACCACCAACCTCTTCCTTCTTCTGGGTGTGACCTCCTTTGGGATTGGGAAAGGGAGAAAGGAGAAAACAAAAAGGAAGCATGAGCATCTCTGCATACAACTGTTGCTATGCTCTCTGCAGTTGATGGTAACCACTAGTTTAGCCTATTGTCTCCGGGCTCGATGAGGACCAGAGGTGGCTCTAAGTTTTCCCTTAGATGAAAGATCTGTTTACCTTCTTTGGCAGATGCAGGCTTGGTGGCATTCTCCACAGGTGAGCCCCTCATTGCCCCCCACACTGCATCAATCCTGGGACATTTGTGGTTTCCAATCTCATATTCTCTGCACCAACTCTCAAGTCTGCAGGCATGTGAGGACTTTACCCCTATTTTGAAGGAGGAGGCCATTGTCACCGGCCCCCACCTCCACCTAGAAAGGCCCCACTCATGCCTTCTCCACTGCATTCTATTTTCTCACATTTCAGTAGCAAATAAAGCACATCAGGAAGTCTACTACTTCAGAAGGTCATACAGCCAGGAAACAAAATGTCTGTTTATTTTTCTTTTCAAGTTATTTGCTTCTTTTCAAGTTATTTGCTCGAGCTCCCCTCTCTCACATACTTGACTTGAGAGAATGAATAGTCTGTACACATACTCCCCAAGAGGTTGGCTTCCTCTCTCCCAACCTCCCCTGGGAGATGGGAACAGCGATGGGTGGTTGGGCCAATTCCCTAACTAGGGGCATCTCAGAAAGCCCTGCAGAAGGATGGCTGATTCCAATTTCTGATGACTCTATAAATTTAGAATATGGAACACATTGTATTTTTTGTCCTCAGTTTGGGTCTTAGCAGTAGTTACATGGCATAAGGAAAATTCCTCCTTGACACCCTATAATGTTTGTCTATGTGCTTAGTTCCCATCATCCATATATGATTCAGACACATCCACAAGTTTAGTTTTAAATAATTAGAATTTTTTTTTAATATTGGCTCTCAAACCTAGCTGCATATTAATCTACTCAAGGGGCTTTTGGCTGTATATTAATCTACTCAAGGGGCTTTTGGTTTTGTTTTTCCTTTTTTTTTTTTTTTTTAAGTACAGACTTCCTGGCTCTATCTGAGATCCACTTGATCAGAATCTTCAGGGCTGTGTCCAGGCAATCTACAATAGATTCAAATACAAGCAGTCTGACATTTAAGAACCTTGGGTGAGAACTCAATAAAAGAGAAAGATTTAAATGAAAGGTCAGGATTTTCTGATTTGGGTTAATATATAAGCCCCATGGACAGAAACCATGCCTATCTGATTCATTTTTGTAGTTCCAACACTTAGAATAGTGCCTAGCTCATAGCAGACTTTCAATAAATATCTATTGCATGAATGAATGGATGAGTGAAACATTTCCATTTCATAGGTAAAGCAATTACCCATGTCACCAATATGTACCACAGCACACAGTGGGAAAACAAGAGTCTACTGTCCTAGTCTGTTCAGGCTGCTATAACAATTTACCATAAACTGGGTGGCTTAAAAACAACCGAAATTTATTTCTGACAGATCTGGAGGCTGGAAAGTCCAAGATCAAGGCACTGGCAGATTTGGTGTCTCGTGAGGGCCCATTTCTTGATTCACAAAAAATACCTTCTTGCCACATCCTCACATGGTGAAAGCTCTCTGGAGCCTCTGTTTATAAGGATACTAATCCCATTCCTGAAGGCTCTGCCCTTATGAACTAATCATCTCTTAAAGGCCCAACCTCCCAACTCCACTACATTGGTGACTGGGTTTCAATAAATGAATTTGGGGGAAATACAAACATTCAGATCATAGCATCTACCAAGAGAAAATGCATCTTTTTCCTGTGGTCATCTTCATATAAACAGAAATGTCTTTTTTGAACTTGGGTGTAAATGAGACAAGAAGACTACTTAGAGAGGCTGACTGGCCACTTCAGTAGGACTTCTCAGGGCTGCCTAGCAACCATGATGAGATCTGGACCATGCAGAATCTGGAACTGACCAACACAGAAGAAATCATAGCAAAAGTGGGGAGCTGGATGATCTCCATGGTCACCAAGCTATCACTTGGCACATCCCTTTTCATCATAACAATACCTGTCAACATGACCAGACCATTTAAATTGAAGAGCACTGGGGATTTACTAAAAAATTTTCCTTCACTGGCTACTTTTCCTCCAGATTCCACTCTGTTTATCAAACCCTAAGGTTAATCAGTCTTTGCCTAAGCAAGTCATAAAGTAATTGATTCTATCTGAGCCTATTACATTACAATCATGTTTAAGGTCCCTCACGCTGAGGATACATTCACATCCCCTCGATGAGGGTACATGGTCTACAATCAGATGAATTAGTAAGGAAAAAGATGATGCCTTGGAGTTGTTTTGAGGTGGTGGTGGTCATTGTTATGGGTTATTTTGCTATTATTGTTGATACTACTATTATTGCTATAAACTTGTCAGTGAAGAATAAAGAATCTCTTCCTCGACCCACTGCAGGAAAGAGGAAGCACTGGTTTCTGAAGGGTGAACTCCCTGATTCCCTCACCAAGAGGGCAGCAACTAAACAGCTTTTAAACTTGAGGTAGATTGGAGGGGATTAATCTAATCCTCTGGGAGACGTAGTATAGAAAGGGATGGTGAAAGTTACCACCAGGGGAAGCATCTCCAATGTGAAATGGGGACAGGATTTGGAGTTATCACAGATGGCAAGCCATGGTTTCTCCTGACACAAAGCATCCAGGATTGGGGGAGGGGAGAGCTGAATGGCAAGAGAAGGCTGGACATTAGGCCAGGAAGCCTCAGCCAAAGATCCCACTTACCAGTAGGAAATGGTGACAGGAGCCACTCATCTCCAAACTGGGTCCCATTGTCTTAGACAAGAAGCTCCAGGGCAGGCACTGGGCACGATGGTTTGCACCTGTAATCCCAGCTATTCAGGGAGCTGAGGTAGAAGGATTGCTTGAGACCAGGAGTTCAAAGACAGCCTGGACAACATAGTGAGACCTCTGTCTCTAAATTTTTTTAATTACATATATATATTATTTTTTATATATATTATTTTTATATATATACATATATATATACATACATATATATATAATTTTAAAAGCTCCAGGGCAAAGAAGCTCCCATCAAAATCCTTAATCTAATTACCATTCAATTCAAATAATATTTAATGAGGAATAAAGAATTTAAGACTTTGTGCTTCACACTACAAGGGACACTATCTTTAAAGTGGTGCTACCTTCAGGTAGTTTATATTCTCCTAGGAGATGGAGACATTTCCCAAGCTACTATAAGGCAAGAAGTGCTAACTATTCTAATCAAGCTCAATGACAGTTGAGGCAAAGGAAAAGATAAACATTTTCTACTGATGTCTGTTGCTTTCCAAATAATCTGAATAACTTATTTGCCAATAACTGGCTTCTACCCCTATCTCCTTCTGCATTCCATAAAGCCCCAACCAAACTGGTCTACTTAGGTCCAAAAGCATGTTGTGGTTTCCAGCTATCGGTCCTAACGCCACCTCCTCTGGAGTAAATCATTGTTCCAGTCCTCTCTTCCTATCCAAATGCTACTCATTTATATACCACCTTTTCCTTAAAAACTTTCTTGGATCCACTGAACTCTTATCTTTTCCCTCCTTGGCACCTGAGCCAAGTGGCCTCTCCCTCCTAGGTATCTGAGTCACTCACTGGAGAGTCTTTCCCTCCACTTTTCTGAATCTCCAATGACCTCCATAAGCACTACTACTCTTGGGCCCACAGGTTTACCAGGTTCTTCCTGCCTGACATCTCCATCCCAGTCCAGTATCCCAGCCTCACACCAGTGGCCTCTGCCTTGTGGCTTGGTCCTTCCTTGCCTGGTCCACAATCTCCAGCTCTACCTCTAGCAGTTAAGGGATTGGGGCCTTTGTGTTGGCTACCACAGTATCCTACCTCTACTAATGACTTTGCATATTCTTCCCCTCCAATGTGTGTTTTGTGTGTCCTGCTATTTATCTTAGCCTATGAACTGCCTCAGGAAAAAAAAAACAAACTCAGCATAATTTGACTGTGACTACTTTAAGGAATATAAGTAGAGCACCACAATATAGATGAACCTTAAAAACATTATGCTAAGTGAAATAGGTCATACACAAAAAGAAAGATACTGTATGATTTCATTTACACAATGTGCCTAGAGTAACCAGATACATAGAGAGAGAAAGTAAAACACTGGTTACGAGGGGTAAAAGGGGGGGAAAATGAAGAGTTATTGTTTAATGGGTACAGAGTTTCAGCATGGGATGAAGAAAAAGTTCTGGAGATGGATAGCAGTGATAATTACACAACAATGTGAATGTACTAAGTGCCAATGAATTGTGTACTTAAAAAAGATTAAAATGGTAAATTTTGCTATGTATATACCATAATAAAATAAAGAAATAAAAATTTTAAATGAATTGTTCAAAAAAGTACAGTACTGAGGGTTCAGTAGAAAACCAAAATGGAGATCTCCACCAGTACCCATCCTTTTGAGATTCCTAACTAGTGGGCTAAATATCTCCCCTACTGTGATATCCTAAGACAATATTTGCTCTGCAAGTACCTTTGGTCTTTCTCACTACAGTCTTCACCTCCCAGGATCAAGTGATCCTCCAACCTTAGTCTTCCAAGTATCTGGGACCACAGGTGTGTACCACTTTGTAGCCTGATTCTGAATGGTATTACCTTAAAATCAAGTGTATTAGTGGTTTGGAGCCAACAGTTACTGAGCAAACATATTTCATTAAAATATTGCTTCCTATTCACTATCCCACTGTTGGACTTCCCACCTCTGTGGACTTCATGCCCCATGGACTCAACCTTATTTGCTTCCTGAATTGTGAGCATGTTTCTCTCACAAGAGAGGAACCAATCCCCTCCAATGTCCCCATTTTCCTGTTTATCTCACAGAAGCACCATTACTCTCCTAGAATCATGAGCCCCTGGTGCCTCTAAAGACACAGCCCTCTTCTACCTCCCCAGGGATCCTGTTGCCATAACCACTAAATTTATTTCCCTTACAGCTCTCAAGGCTCTTCATTAATACTTGTCTTCCCCACCACATAATGTTTCCTTATATTATTTACCTCTCTAAAAGGCAGAGGCCCTGTCTTATATGTCTTTATACTCTTTGCAGTATCTTTGACTATGCATGCCACATTTTTTGAAATATAACTAGTATGTCACTTAGACATTTTCAGGAATCATCACAACACCAATACAGAAAAGACTTAGTTATAAAATTAACCACAGAATTTCTTTAAGAATAAATTTATTTTTTAATATTTTTCTTCTGCTTGCCTAAGTTCCCAACATTTCACGCAAGCTGTTACATAACAACTAGATGCAATGTGTTATCACAGGTTGGATTTTGGAAGACAAAAGAAACATTAGAGAAAAATGAGTGAAGTCTGAAAAAAGTCTGAAGTTTAATTAATAGTGATGTACCAATGTTGCCTTTTAGTTTTAACAAATGCACAATGGTATTGTGAGATATTATCATTAAGAAAAACGGAGTGAGTGGTATATGGAAACTATGTCCTATCATTACAATCTTTCTGTAAATCTAAAATTATTCAAAAATCAGGCCATGAGTCACTACTCACACCTGTAATCCCAGCACCTTGGGATACTGAGGCAGGCCCATCACCTGAGGTCAGGAGTTCGAGACCAGCCTGGCCAACATGGTGAAAATCCATCTCTACTAAAAATACAAAAATTAGCCAAGCGTAGTGGCACACACCTGTAATCCCAGCTATTCAGGAGGCTGAGACAGGAGAATTGCTTGAACCCAGGAGGCGGAGGTTGCAGTGAACCGAGATCGCGCCAATGCACTCCAGCCTGGGTGGCAGAGCGAGACTCTGTCTCAAAAACAAAAACAAAAACAAGAAGAAGAAAATAAATAAATAAAAAGCTGATTTTTAAAAGATCAGTTCATACCTTCTCCAGTCATCTTTAGGAGCAAAGGATAAAACGTCTGACCCTGCTGATGGAAGAGGTCACTTTTCTACCCTGGGACTTAGAAAACCAATGCCACAGATTCATGTCCATCTATATACATGGCTTAATACTCTTTTCCTATCCTGATTTTTAGGTCCTTGTTTCCATTTTGAGTTTTGTTGGTAAGAGAACGGAAATGGCCCCTTGAAATTTGTTTCTGAGAAGTGATCACCTGAGACTCTCCTACCAAAGCCAGAAAGTTCCAGAAAGAGTTTACAAAATTTGAAAATTTACAGAAAAAAATACAAGCTAATTACTGCCTGGACAGTTTTAACAATTCATTCAAAATGGGCAACCCAAGCATCACATGAAGATACAGCCTAAGTTAACTGTCTTGTATCACATTAACAATACACTTAATTAATCCAAGAATATATATATTTTTTGAGACAAACTATCACTCTGTCATCCCAGCTGGACTGCGGTGTCGCTATTGTAGCTCACTGCAGCCCTAAACTCTTGGGCTCAAGTAATCATCTCGCTAATTTTTTGTTTGTTTTTTTTAGAAACAGTGTCTTGCTATGCTGCCCCAGCCTCCCCAAGTGCTGGGATTACAGGCATAAACACCACACCCTGCCCAAGACTACACTGAAATGAGTGTACTTTTTTTTGTTTTTTCTTCCTTTATATATAGACTCACAGCCCAGTGTACATTTTATGCTATGAGATATCTATGTCTCCAAATACTCTTTAATTTACTTTGGTAGTAAAACAATCCTCAAAGGGAAAAATGAAAAACAAGCTGAGCCAAAAGAATGTGATCTACCAAATTCCCAGGGCTGAAATTTCAAAATGTTTTGCTTGTCTATTATAATCTGGTACAAGACACGTCAAAACATCTTATCAAATATGATAGATAAACCCAGAAGATTCCTATCAAGTCTATGGCCACTGTGCTCTTAGGGAATAAAGTAGACTCAAGAGAATCATAAGATGTAACCCAGAAGAAGTTCATAGTGAGGCTATAGTAATGCAATAAGGAAGAAATATAATAGGACATTTTATTTCCCCTTGTCCCCAGAGATTGACAACTATGAGGTTTTCTACTCAATTGATGTAGGAAAAATGGGGAGACAGTCTGGCTCAAGGCAACAACTATCTAATAAATAATTTAGTGTTGCATAGAAAAGCATAGTCTACACCAAAAAACCTCTTGAACACTCAGCAGGCAGTTTCTTACATAATACTTATAACAGTAAATATGCTCATATAAATTCATGCTTTCTTTGGACACTTTTGCCTTTCAATGTTTAATTTTACTTGACATAATTCAAAGAAGTGGAGCCAAGGGTAAGAAAGGGCTTTTTTGTTTATTTTTCTAGATGAAAACAGATGTGTATAACAGAACAATCCTCCACATGCAACTAATGTATTCAGTCACAGAACCCAGACACGATTACGTTTATTCATCCTAAGGCTTCACTTTTTAATGAATAGCTTTCACTATTTAATTTTAAAACTTTCCAAATGGGACATTATATTACTGTCTTCTTAAAAGAAAAATTTGGTCTTGGGAAAATTCAGCTTTATTTTTCTTCCTTTAGTTGTAGATACATAATCTCAAACAATTTGCTTCCTTTTTCCTCAGGTTGTCTTTCTACTACTATCTTCAAAAATAAAAATAGTCATTTTTTCAACATTGTGCATTATACTAATCAAAAAGCTATTTACATGGAAATATAAAGAATTATTTAGTAAATGATGATTTGATATAAGTAAAATTATCTTTAAATCATACCGCATTCCCATAGATTAAAAAGACAATAGTAAAAATGAAACCATAAAGATCTATAGGTAGCTCTTGCCTTTCTTCTTTCTCTTTCCTTCTTTTCCAGAAGAATTTGGTTATAAAGCCTTTCAGCAGAGACAAGTAGGATAGGATAGGCATTTGCAGCAGGATAGGGAAAGCCATGGTGGTAAGATGAGGGTAAGATGAGCATCTGCATAGGAGAAGGCCTAGCATAGATGTTGGAAGCTGGGCAGGGTGAGGAGGGTACGCAGGCATGAGGGTAGCCTGACTCAGGTTGTCGGAACCTCAGTAGGATGAAGAGGGAATACACACAATGGCGTCCAACAACAGTAGCCCTGCAGGGAATGTTGGAGCCCAAGTGATATAAAGAAGTCTTTGTTGTGAGAGGTGATGATGGTGGCAAAGGCAGAGTGGTGCATATGAGAGAACTGATCAAATAAGTAAAAGTACTAACAATAATGAGATCCAGGAATAAAATGAGACTGAACTTTGTGGTGATAGATGGCAACTATAGGCATCAGTGCAAATGCAGTGATTTCCAGTGTTATTTATATAAAGGGAAATAAACATAGATATAAGTGTGTGTATGCAAATATCCCCTAGCTCTATTCACAGAGAAAGAACGGTGATATCCCAATAGTAATAATTGCACCCAGCATGCAAATCATGGTTTCTAAATACCATTCTTCCCCAAAGGAACCAGGGTTCCTTGGAGAAATGGCTGATTCAAGAGCTGGAGCAGAAAGTGTGCCAAATGAGCATGAAAAATCTGATTGTGACACGTCAAAAGGACAGAGAAGCCAGTTTATAGGTATTCAAGTCTCAAGGTACCTCCCTGAGAAATATTTTTGGTTCTATCTCTTGTCTATTATTCTGTCAGGTTGTTTGTGTTTGTGTTATATTGCTTTTTGAGATTCTTTACCTATTTTGCCAACCACTCCTTTCTAGGTTATATGTGTGGAAAATGTCATCTCCTACTTTGTGGCTTATCTGGGCACTATTTTATAATATCTTTTGATAAATGGCCATTATTAATTTTAATATGGTTGAATTTATTAATCTTTTTCTTTATGGTTTGTGCTTTCTGAGCCTTGTTTTATAAATCTTTTCCCACCCCTCTTTTGTAAAGATAGTGTCCTGTGTTCTAAAAGTTCCAAAGTTTTATCTTTCACAGTTTAGTCTTTAATTCACACAGAATCTATGTTCATGTATGGATTGGTGTAGTAAGATAATTCCTCCTTTTTGCTTATGGGTAATCAATTAACCCAGCACCATGTACTGAATAGTCACTCCTTTCCCACCTGAGTATTTTATCCCAACACAAATCCCACATTGTGTTAATTACTATAGCCTTATAATAAATCTTTTTTTTTTTTTAGACGGAGTTTCACTCTTGTTGCCCAGGCTGGAGTGCATTGTCACAATCTTGGCTCACCGCAACCTCTGCCTCCCAGGTTCAAGCGATTCTCCTGCCTCAGCCTCTCGAGTAGCTGGGATTACAGGCATGTACCACCATGCCTAGCTAATTTTGTGTTTTTAGTAGAGATGGAGTTTCTCCATGTTGGTCAGGCTGGTCTTGAGCTCCTGACCTCAGGTGATCCGCCCACCTTGGCCTCCCAAAGTGCTGGGATTACAGGTGTGAGCCACCGCACCCGGCCCTGAGCCACTGCGCCCGGTCCAATAAATCTTAATTTCTGGGAGACAAACCTCCCTGTTTTGCTCTTTTTCGTTAAGTGTATTTTGGATGCTTTTAGCCTTTTCCTCTTCCATATAAATTTTAGAGTAAACCTGTAAGGTTTTACATAGAACCTTTTTAGACTTTGATTAGAATTGCATTGCATCTATAAAC
Organism: Homo sapiens; assembly: GCF_000001405.40. NCBI lineage: Eukaryota > Metazoa > Chordata > Mammalia > Primates > Hominidae > Homo > Homo sapiens. Next base: position 86,538,637 of record NC_000004.12, read on the forward strand.
CAATTGGAGAGTAGAGCTGTCCTTAAAATATTCACTCTTCCTATCCATGAACAAGGTACTCCATAGGATGTTAAACTTTTGTACATATAGTAATAAAAATGAAAAGACCAAAAAAGGGGAACTACTTCTAACTAATATGATAGCTCAAGGGCTTATATATCTAATATTCTTAAATCTCATACTAAAACACCTTGAGATAATGAGAAAGGACTTAACCAGACAATTCATAAGAAAGAAACAGAAATTAGAAATAAATATACAGAAAAATGCCTGGCCTCCTTAATAGTAAAGGAATGCAAATTTAAAAACCTACAAGATATTATTTTCACTTATCAAATTAAAAATCTTTTTTTAAAAATGCTGTAATAGGCACATCAGCTTGAGTCTAAGTGAAAATCAATCCCCATCAGTGTTGTAGTTATGAGGTGGGCTTGCAAAAAACCGATTTGTATGCAAACTGAAGAGCCTCTTGGAAAAGAATATATTCTAAGGAAGAAATTAGAAATAATGAGCTCAGCCCAGGAAAACAGGATCTGTCATTCAGATTTGTCTTCTAGCCGAGTTCCCTCACTGAACTCCTACAGAGGAAGGAAGAGAGGGCATCCAGAAAAAAAAGATAAAGAAAAAAATCTGAAAGAGCAATTTCATCAACATCTTTAAAGCACTGGAACATACTAGCACAGCTTCGGGTCTATTACAGTGACACACTGAGGGAAAAGACATCGTCCTACACTTTGCACAAAACCCTCTGAAGCTCCAAACCTCAGCTACTAGATGAGGCAAAGCCAATCAGAGGGAGGTTGGAATATAAGCACAAGCATGAAAGCCCTGGTGCTTTTAGAAACCCTTGGTCGCAGGGATTAGTGAGAATTTCCAAAAGCATTAGAGGTCTTACATCAGCTAGCAAGAGGGGAAAAGGGCAATACTGAAGTTAGTTTTTAATATATGCCCTTTCTGTTCCTATAAACTAATGAGGGCTGCAAGAGGCTAAGATTAAATCATTATTCAATGTCAGCAAGTGTGTAAGAAGTCTCAAGCCCTCCTATACTGTTGGCTGGGGCACATGTGAGAACAAGCTTTTTGGGAACCATTTTGCAACATATATGAAGAATATTTTCAAATTTTAACTTTCTGATCCAATAACTGTCCCACTAAAATGCTTGTCAAATAGAATAAGAGGCATATAGAAATGTGTGTCCAAGGATGTTAGTTACAATCTTAATTATAATAACAAAATCTTCTAAATATTCAATCATAGGAGGAAGGTTAAATGAGTTGTAGAATGACTAAGCAAATCCGATGCAGCCCTGGATTAAAAAATTATCTTGGTAGTAGAAAACATAGGGTATCAAATTGAATGTGGAGCTGTCATTGGAAAATTTTAACCAAAGGGTTTTTTCCTTTTCACAAATTATTTCTATTGCCCTATAACAATTAGATTAATACTGAATCCATCCATTGGGTCAATCAGAGCCATTGTCTTTGGGAGAGGAGAAATCCATTGCATGCTTAAATGTGTTTTAACTCATAGCAGGCTTATCACCCTGAAGCAAAGCACCTTTGATATGTAAGAACTGGGCCATGCACAGTGTGTTAGCTCACACCTATAATCCTAGCACTTTGGAAGGCCAAGCTGGGCAGATCCCTTGAGCTCAGGAGTGAGACCAGCCTGGGCAACATAGCGAAACTCTGTCTGTACGAAAAATACAACAAATTAGCCGGGTATGGTGTCGCACACCTGTGGTCCCAACTACTCAGGGGGCTGAGGTGGAAGGATCGCTTGAGCCCAGGAGGCGGAGGTTGCAGTGAGCCGGGATCACATCACTTCACTCCAGCCTAGGCAACAGAGTGAGACCCTGTCTCAAACAAACAAAAAAACTGGGCAATTGAAAGAGAAGGATTTTCTTTTGAATTAATAAAAACGAACATGATTGGAAAACTGATGCAGAATCTAGAAGACGAGAGCACAGAGATTACAAAAGTTAATCACAGAATAAAAATAATGCAGTACTTAATATATTCTTGCCTGATAGCAAGGAAGAAGAATAATTCCCTTCCTGGGCTGCAGGGAAGAGCATGGAGAAAGAGGGAAAAAAGAGAAGAAAGTCAGATGTAGGAAAAGTCCCTGAGGGGACTGGCCTCTTTCCAAATAGGTTTCTTGACATGAGAAAAGAAGGTACTTTGGGGTAGGCGTGGTGGCTCATTCCTGAAATCCCAGCACTTTGCGAGGCTGAGGTGGGAGGATCACTTGAGCCCAGAAGTTTGAGACCAGCCTGGGCAACATGGCAAGACCCTATCTTGAACAACAAAAGCAGAGGTACTTTTGTTAGATTTCCTACATGAAATCAGGGAGGAGCCACTTTCAGAATGCCCACTGATAACGCAGGGTGGCTGCAAAGAGTATGAATGGCACCAAGTCAGGATTGGGGTGGGGTGGGGGCTGAGAGAGGCTCCTACCCTACCAGCCCCTACAATCCCCATGGGGCATTCTTGAAATCTTGAAAGGGGCATGGGAGAGATCTGGGAACAATGCGACAGCTGGCTTATGGGGAAAGTGGGGAGTGGGGGCAGGGGAGACATAGCAGAGAATTGGGAGGTCCCACACTAAAGCCAGGGGTAGTTGGTTCTCAGCAGCAGCAGGAGAAGATAACCAAACTCCTGGGAGTAATTGCTCTGCACTGCACTGCCCAGTGTCCAGAACAAACCCATAGGCAAAATCCATGTAAACAAGACTTCACAGCCAGGAAGGAATGGAGGGTCACACAAAGACCAGATATGCCTTCCTTGCAGCAGGGTGGTAGCGTGAGCTTTTTCTATTCCCAAAGACCGCCACCAGGAAGGGGAGAAGAAGTGGTAGAAAGGAAAAATCTTGAGAGGGAAAAATAGCCCTGAGAGGGAGGCTGAACTTCAAATGTGATAATAACCTCGAAGAGACAGACAGAGTTGCACTGAACTAGTGACAAAATAAATTCAGTTACAGAGAAATTTAAAGAAACTCTGTACTCATCCAAGATATGATTGTGAATTTCAAAGCTGGGACATCTATCTACAGTGCTATTTTGGTCTACCCAGTAATTATTCTCTATTCTGAGAAAAAAGCAGCTCTGAGTTTCTGCTGCAGAGCTCCCTGAACCTTCCTGGGTCCTAATCTTCCAAAGCCTGGGTGTTTTTTATTCTGTGGACTGCCAAGAAATTCCTTTCCTTCCTTAAGTTTGTAACTGGGTCAGTTTCTGTTATTTGCACTAAAGAAAGAAGCCCAGCTGATACAAAATATATAATCCCAATTTTGTAAATGCACATGAATACACCGGCACACACACACACACACACACACACACACACACACACACACACAGGTGGGGAAAAAGAAAGAAATAAAATATTAATAGTGATCCTATCTGGATAATCAAGTTATAAAATATTATTTTCTTCTATGTTTCCAAGTTTCCTATTCTCCATAATGAGTATGCATTATATTTTTATTCAGAATATTGAGAGATAGAAGTATTATCCATAATGTCCAGAAAAATAACATTAAGAAGCCCAATTACATTAAAAAGGTATGTCACGTCATTGGCCTTTGTCTCTTGGCACCCTGGGCCAGCCAGCAGATGCAAGCACAAGCACTGTTGGGCAGTGTGTTATAATGCAAAGAATACTAGGCCAGGAGTTCAGAGACCAGAGTTTTAGCTCTGGCTCTGCCACTGACAAGTTGTGTGATGTTTAATAAGTCTTTCAACCTCCTTTAGCCCCAAATTTCTTTATCTGTAACATGAAGGCTTCAACTCCCTAGCTGGACACAGTGGTGTGTACCTGTAGTCCCAGCTATTCAGGAGGCTGGGACAGGGATCACTTAAGGCCAAGAATTCAAGGCTGTGCACACTACAGCCTTGCACTCTTGGCCTCAAGTGATCCATGATCGCACCTGTGAATAGCCACTGCACTCTAGCCTGGGCAACGTGAGACTCTCTCTAAAAAAAAGAAACTCCCTATGATAATACAGAGTTCACTGACCTGTCAACCGTACCCTAGCTCAGGTTCCAACTGTCAACATTTCTCAGATATATGTATGAGAAGACAAAATTTCCCAGTATGCTAGCCAAAGTCTTAGAGAAAACTTTCAAGGGAACACTACAGACACTGCTTGCTTTGCTTTTGAGACTGAAACATAGCAATAGCACTGATGTTTTCCATCTTGTTTTCATGCAATCTCTGTCTGAAGGGACACTTCACAACCTAGCATTGCCTGTCACCAGCATGAAAGTGCAGCTAGTGCTTGTCGCTGGCATCAGCCCCAGATCCAGCATAAGAACCCAAATACCATCATGCTGGGGGGCACCTTGAGCACACTGCCTCACCATGCAGCTGGTCATCAGAGCCTCAGAGGGCAAGGAAGGTTCACGTATAGAGGGAACCAGTGAAAGGCAAATTTACTACTGCTGCTTCAATCTGTGAAATCGCAAAGCCAAGGAAGTTAAAGGGATGTGGTGCAATATTTCACACTAGATACCTGATCCGTCCAGGTGGGGGGACTTAGATGGATTCCCAAAGAAGTAGGTGCATTGAGAAGAGTACACCAGGAATTGAGCTATAGGAATAACAGAGACCAAACTAGCAATTTTACATCTGTTCAAAACTATGACCTCATCAAACTAATTTCTCAGCTAGCTTTTTTCTTCTTCCATTCTTGTATCCATGTCTTGCAGCTTCCTCTGGGAATCTTCTTCCTCTCCCTGTAGTATATGATGTCTAAAAATCCTCCCTGGCTTGTTGGGAACAAACTTCCCATACACCAGAGTGACATATGCCCTGAGACTCTACACGATGGCTGAAGAGACACCTAACTCACAGGACTAAGGAAAATGTAAGCCCTAAACCACTTAGCTCTGTGTCATAAAAATCTACTGTCCTTTATTCTGTTTATCTTTATTTCTAACCTAAGAGAAAAAGTAGAATGGAACAGACTGGGTAATCTATTCTAAGAAAAACTTGAATGTTTTAAACACAAAAAAGAGAAGAACTAAAATTTGAATGCAGAAAAGATACAATTAAGCACATTTGCAACCTTGGCAAGTACATGAAGAGGAGTGTAAAGGGAATTAGATTGTGTGGGAGTCAAGCTGGGTCCAAAAAAAACAGGAACGGGAATGTTTCAAGAAGGGATCTGAAGAGATACAATGAGTTACTAAGTGAAGAAGGGAAAGGAGAACAGAAAACACTGGAAGAAAAAGTCATTTCACTAAACAAACAAACAAAAATACCAACAACAAAACCTCACTGTAACTAGCAGTAAGGAAGTTTAATGACTCTGCATACTGGGTATATTCTGGATCCCTTCAGTAGAAATGTCATTTAAACTAAGACTGAAGAAAAGCAAAGAAGGAGAAACAGTGGTTTGTCTCTTTGTCCAATATAGTGTTGCTCATGTGGAGGGAGAGAATGGGGAATGTGGGAAGGGTTGAGGAATTCCAATAAGAAGATTATCACCCACAAAGAATGCCGGAGACAGGTTTTTTTCCACAAGAGATTAAGTCATTATTCTTAACCCAAGAGGTGATGGATTGTCTTTCTGGTGCTTACTAGTATAATAGCTAAGCAGAAAATAATTGTCTAATGTGAAGTAGGGGAGCTGGAGATAACATAGAAAGGATAAAAGTCCCTCAAATTAAAAACAAAAAGGCATCGACATGATTTGTGGTTTCAAAAAAACTTTTTTGGGGGAATAAAACAATGCTGACTTTGCAGATGAAGCTGACATCACAGATATATTGTAGTTACTGCCTACATACTATTCTTACTGGAAATGGAGCAGTGTAGGAAGCCACAAACATCTAAATAGTCATTTCTCTCTCTTTCTTGTCAGTTGCTTCAAGTCACAAATGCAGTTTCAATTCAACAAATCAAAGTGTCACCTGTTTACAAACTCCACTTTCAAATCTTTCACCAAAATCGGTGAGCAATACATGCTAATAAACAGAGAAAATAAAAAAACTAGAGTCACTTTGAGAGAAGTATAGTTTAGTGATTACAGAAAATATCATTTATATTTTGTTGCCAATGTGGATTTCTGTTAGTTTGTCTATCTGATAAGCTTCAGGGACAATAGTTGTATTGAATATTGAAAGGAAGTTGTTATGATCAGATTGCTTCCTGTGGTGAACAAAAGGCTTTTGCTGACATAGCAGCTTCATGGTTGCACACACAGCCCATAATATCCTTGTCTTTCAAACTGAAAGGTTTTTTTCTTTTTTTTTTTTTCACTATTTCAACAGGAAACAAAATCTTCAGACTTGCTTCCAAAGGAGAAGTTTGAAATGGAAGGGAGAAAGAGAGGAAGGGAGGGACGGCAAGAAGGAAAGAAGAGAGGAAGGAAGAAAGCAATGGCATGGCCATGTTTCTGTGTTGTTTTTTCCTACTACAAAATATTAAGATATTGGATAATAAAGGAGCCAAATAGTGTCACATGGCTCACGTGTGTATCAACAAGGCCCATGTGTGTATCAACATAAGGCTAAGAACACATGACAAGGCATGGATGGCCAAGGAGTCAGGATTTTGAAATGAGTGCAAGGACTTGTTTACATGAAAATGTTCAAAGGTAAAATCAATGTATCAGGTTAAAGGGTTGAGTCTGAAGAATGAGCGCATGAAAAAATGTGATACTTTCTCTTTTTTGTCATTGCTTTCTTTCCCCTCATCCGTGGCGGGGAGAGGATCTTTGGTAAGACAGAATAAAGACGGCATTTTAGTGAGGATGGGGGAAGCCTGAGGCAGGTGTGCTCTCTTCTGAGAACTTTCTCAAAAATCCACACCATTTCCATGGTGGTGAAGGCCGTGACGAAAAGACCTCAGAAGAATTACTAAAATAGCTTCTGAGGTTGCTTTCCAATGGCACAATGCAGGAAATGGAAAAGGGGCATGTATTGATAGCATTGTGTGTAAATGAACAATATACATGTGTATTGTATTTTTCATGGTGGGCAAATGGTGGGACATCGGGGAGAGGGGCTGAGAGAAGTCCAGGAAGCAGCATAAAGATCTTAATGGACAGGAAGGAGAAGAGAGGTGTTAATGGAAAGAAGGAATACATTTTAGCACTTCAAATACTGGTGTAGCTTCAACTCTGACCAGGGACATTTTGTCTTAGTGCCTAAATATATCCAAGTGGAATAAGCACGAATCTCACATTTTAAAAAATTAGCCATGCATTACACATACGTATCATTCTTCCTGATATTGTTAAAGCAAACCACTGCAACAACATTGGCTACAGAATTTTGAGGGCTCAGTCCAAAATAAAAATGCAGGGCTCCTTGTTCAAAAATTACTAAGGGCCAGGTGCGGTGGCTCACGCCTGTAATCCCAGCACTTTGGGAGGCCGAGGCGGGCGGACTGCCTGAGCTCAGGAGTTCAAGACCAGCCTGGGCAACAAAAAATTTAGCCGGGTGTGGTGTTGGGTGCCTATAGTCCCAGCTACTTGGGAGGCTGAGGCAGAAGAATCTATTGAACCTGGGAGGCAGAGGCTGCAGTAAGCCGAGATGGCGCCATTGCACTCCAGTCTGGACAACAGAGCGAGACTCTTGTCTCCAAAAATAAAAAATAAAAAATTACTAAGAATTTCAAGATGGCGGCTGGGTGCGGTGGCTCACGCCTGTAATCCCAGCAATTTAGGAGGCTGAGACGGGCAGATCACCTGAGGTTAGGAGTTCGAGACAAGCCTGGCCAACATGGCAAAACCCTGTCTCTACTAAAAATACAAAAAAAAAAAAAATTAGCCGGACATGGTGGCGTGAGCCTGTAATCCCAACTACTCAGGAGGCTGAGGCAGGAGAATTGCTTGAACCTGGGAAGCGGAGGTTGCAGTGAGACGAGATCGCGCTACTGCACTCCAGCCTGGGGGACAAGAGCGAAACTCCTTCTAAAAAAAAAAAAAAAAGAAGAAAGAATTTCAAGGTGGCAAAAATGGCATTAAACCAAGCAAGGGGCCCTTCTGAGTATAGGTCCTATGTGACTGCACAAGTCATATGCCCATGAGGCCAGCCCTACTCCAAAATTAAGACCAGATTTGAATGGGTTCCATGCAGTGCTTGGAGGGGAAAATCCCAGATGTAAACTCTCACTGTAAAAGTTCAAAAGGGGCTGGGCGGGGTGGCTCATGCCTGTTAATCCCAGCACTTTGGGAGGCCGAGGCGGGTGGATCACGAGGTCAGGAGATCTAGACCATCCTGGCTAACACAGTGAAACCCCATCTCTACTAAATATACAAAAAATTAGCTGGGCGTGGTGGCGGGCACCTGTAGTCCCAGTTACTCGGGAGGCTGAGGCAGGAGAACCGTGTGAACCCGGAAGGTGGAGCTTGCAGCCGAGATTGCGCCACTGCACTCCAGCCTGGGCGACAGAGCGAGACTCCGTCTAAAAACAAACAAAAAAAAAGTGCTAAAGGGAAAGGCTGATTATTGGAGTCAGAAGACTAGTTATCCTCTGCTTTTCTATGAGTGATAGTGAGAGGTGACAGCTTGCTGGCAGTTCTCACAGCCCTCGCTTCCTCTCGGCGCCTCCCCTGCCTGGGTTCCCACTTTGGCGGCACCTGAGGAGCCCTTCAGCCCGCCCTGCACTGTGGGATCCCCTTTCTGGGCTGGCCAAGGCCGGAGCCGGCTCCCTCAGCTTGCCAGGAGGTGTGGAGGGAGAGGCGCTGGGGGGAACCAGGACTGCGCGAGTTCCGGGTGGGCGTGGGCTCTGCGGACCCGCACTCCCAGCAGTCGGCCGGCCCCACCGCCCGGGGCAGTGAGGGGTTTAGCACCTGGGCCAGCAACTGCTGTGCTCAAAATTTCTCGCCGGGCCTTAGTTGCCTTCCCGCAGGGCAGGGCTCAGGACCTGCAGCCCGCCATGCCTGAGCCTCCCCCGCGCTCCCTGGGCTCCTGTGCCGCGGAGCCTCCCCTAAGAGCGCCGCCCCCTGCTCCACAGCACCCAGTCCCATTGACCACCCAAGGGCTGAGGAATGCCGGCGGCAGGCAGGGAGCTCCACCTGCAGCCTCCATTCAGGATCCACTGGGTGAAGCCAGCTGGGCTCCTGAGTCTAGTGGGGATGTGGAGAACCTTTATATCTAGCTAAGGGATTGTAAATACACCAATCAGCACTCTGTATCTAGCTCAAGGTTTGTAAACACACCAATCAGCACCCTGTGTCTAGCTCAGGGTTTGTGAATGCACCAATCGACACTCTGTATTTAGCTACTCTGGTGGGGCCTTAGAGAACCTTTATGTCTAGCTCAGGGATTGTAAACGCACCAATCAGCGCCCTGTCAAAACAGACCACTCGGCTCTACCAATCAGCAGGATGTGGGTGGAGCCAGACAAGAGAATAAAAGCAGGCTGCCTGATCCAGCAGTGGCAACCCGCTCAGGTCCCCTTCCACACTGTGGAATCTTGGTTCTTTCACTCTTTGCAATAAATCTTGCTGCTGCTCACTGCTTGGGTCCACACTGCTTTTATGAGCTGTAACACTCACCGCGAAGGTCTGCAGCTTCACTCCTGAAGCCAGCGAGACCACGAACCCACCGGGAGGAACAAACAACTCCAGACGCGCTGCCTTAAGAGCTGTAACACTCACCACAAAGGTCCGCAGTTTCACTCCTGAGCCAGCGAGACCGCGAACCCCACCAGAAGGAAGAAACTCCAAACACATCCGAACATCAGAACGAACAAACTCCGGACATGCCACCTTTAAGAACTGTAACACTCACCACGAGGGTCCACAGCTTCATTCCTGAAGTCAGTGAGACCAAGAACCCACCAATTCCGGACACAATAGTAGATAACTGCTATGGTTTGGATCTCTGTCCCCACTAAATTTCATGTTGAATTATAATCTCCAGGGCTGGAGGTGGGGTCTGGTGGGAGGTGACTGGATCATTGGGTTGGTTTCTAATGGTTTATCACCATCCTCCTAGTGATAGGTTCCCCTTTGCCTTCCACCATGATTGAAAGTTAGTAAAGGCCATCATGCTTCCTGTATAGCCCATGGAACCATGAGCCAATTAAACCTCTTTTCTTTATATACTTTGGCTCAGGTGTTTCTTCATAGCAGTGTGAGAACAGACTAATGCAGGTACTCTCAGTGCCACTCTGACCCTGGTGATTTTGAGATTCCACTAGACCACAACTTGCACACTATGAACAATAAGACAGCTTAGAAGGACATCTCGTATAGCTCTGTGATATGGAAAGACTAAACACATTCTGAATAGATTTTGGTTCCTTTAAAATGACTTTATATTTTTGTAACACTGTAAGGCCCGACTAAATATACGTTTTCACTGTTATGATTTAGTGATTCCCATTCTAGAGCAAAATGAAAATATTACTGATAATTCACTGTTTATTTCATGGAATACTAAAATACCAATATTAATGCAGTATTTTAATTTTAAAAAGCCAGTAAAAATATTTAATATATGTAAAATATAAAAGCTTATATATTATTAAACATCAAGTAAAAATAAAAACTGTAATTTTAACCATATCTTATCATCGTGATAGAAATTATCCAAAGTTTCAATTATTAAAAATAAAGTATTCAAAATACAGTCCGGCATCACTTAAGGACAGGGATATATCCTTCCAAATGCATTGTTAAGACAATTTTGTCCTTGTCTGAACATCATAGAGAGTACTTACACAAATCTAAATGGTATAACCCACTATACAACTAGGCTGTATGGTATAGTCCATTGCTCCTACACTACAAACCTGCACAGTATGTTATTGTACTGAATATGGTAGGGAATTGTAACACAATGGTATTTGTGTATCTAAACATAGAAAAGATACAGTAAAAACACCATATAAAAAGATAAGAAAGGGTATACCTATATTGGGCACTTACCATGAATGGAGCTTACAGGACTGGAAGTTGCTCTGAGTGAGTCAGTGAGTGAGTGGTGACTAAATGTGAAGGCTTAGGGCATTACTGTACACTACTGTAGACTTTATAAACAGGCTGTTTATTGAAACAAAATAATTTCCCTAGATATACTTTCCTATTAATGAAGAGCATGTTAGACCAGGCACGGTGGCTCATGCCTTTAATCCCAACACTTTAAGGAGGCCGAGGTGTGAGGATCCCTTGAGTCCAGGAGTTTGAGGTTATAGTGAGCTATGATTGTGCCATTGTACTCCAGCCTGGGTGACAGCACAAGGCCCTGTTTCTAAGAATAAACAAACAAACAAACAAAACAATAAGGGAAGAAAGGAGAGGAGAGGAGAAAGACAACATAAGTCACATTATACCTTAAAAGTCAGGTTTCTAGGAATTTTTCAGGCCAGAAAATAAATCTTACAAGTGATCTGTAAGTTGTTATGTATCAATACCTTTCAAGGATAGCTTTCAAGTAACCATGACTTCCAGGTGTATAGATTTACCATCTGCTTCAAAGACAAGAAACTTCTCCATGCAAATTTATACTAAGAGACATCTTTATCTCAAACCTTCAGGGCTTATACCCAAGAGTGAACTACTTCATTCAGGACATGGAAGCACATACATATAGAACTACTAGCCATACTCCCCGAGGAATCTGGATCTCACAGGGAGATTCAACGCCCTTAAAGTATGACAATGAACCGTTGTATATTTTTGGTGTGCTAGATCCACAGGGCTAATTTGGCATTCAGTTTGCAACAATTAAAAAGCTGCAGCAGCATTATATTAATCAGAAGGGCTAAGCAGAGCTTCAGTTAAAAAAAAAAAAAAAAAAAAAAAAAAAAAAAAAAAAACTCCAGGCCAGGCACAGTGGCTTACGCCTGTAATCCCAGCACTTTGTGGGGCTGAGGAAGGCAGATCACTTGAGGTTAAGAGCTGGAGACCAGCCTGGGAAACATGTTGAAATGCCGTCTCTACTAAAAATACAAAAATTAGCCAGGTGTGGTGGTGCATACCTGAAATCCCAGCTACTCGGGAGGGAGGCTGAGGCAGGAGAATCACTTGAACCTGGGAGGCAGAGGTTGCAGTGAGCCAAGATCATGCCATTGCACCCCAGCCTGGGCAACACAGCAAGACTCTGTCTCAAAACAAATAAATAAGTAAATACAAAATACACACACACAAAAACCTCCAAATGTCATGGGCTTAACCAAAATTTAATTCTTGTTCACATAAAGTCCCTTGAGGCTCATATTCCTCCGTGTGTTGGTCCACCTTCTAGGCTATTTTGGTATTATGGCACCTCCTCATCAGCACATGCTTCCACAAGTACCCTGGCAGGGGAAGAATAGGCTGGGCAATTGAACATTGGTAATAAATGCATTCTTCTGAAAGTGACGTACATCACTTGGGCACACATTTCATGAGCTAAAGCTAGTCTAACTTCAAGGAGACAGATAAGTAAAATCATCCTGTTTGCCTGAAATTAAAGAAGAACTCTGTGAACACAATAATGCCACCCATAGTGCATTACAGACATCAAGATTTGTGGCAATTTGTAGAGTCTGACCTCACTCTTCTAATATTTATAGTAAAAAGGATGGGTAGTTAACCAAACTGCATATGTATATGTGTTAGCCCCTCAAATGAAACCACTTCATTTACATTACTTTAAAGAAATGTGTGTTTTCCACTATTTAATGATCACATCATATGCTGAATGCAGTAATGTCAAGTTTTAAAATTTTGTTTTGCTTTTTGCCAATGAAACTAGGCAAAATGAGATGAAAGAATTTTGGCTGTGATTTTAGGAACTGCCTTTACTCAATGCTTAATTTTAACTAAGCATAACCAGTGAGTAAAATTTTGTCAAGATCATTCCTAATTTACAATTTTCATTAAAGCTGATAAAGTATACTCTTCAAAGAATAACATGAGTTTACTTCCTTCCTTGTTTTCTTCCTTCCATCTTTCCTTCCTTCCTTCCTTCCTTCTTTCCTTCCTTCTTCTCTCTTTCTTTCTCTCTCTCTCTCTCTCTGTCTCTCTTTCTCTCTTTCTTTCTTTTTGAGATGGAGTCTCACTCTATCACCCAGGCTGGAGTGCAGTGCTGCGATCTTGGCTCATGCAACCTCCACCTCCCAGGTTCAAGTGATTCTCCTGCCGCAGCCTCTCCAGTAGCTGGAATCACAGGAGGGCACCACCACACCTGGCTAATTTTTGTATTTTTAGTAGAGACAAGGTTTCCCCATGCTGGCCAGGCTGGTCTCGAATACCTGACCTCAAGTGATCCACCTGCCTCAGCCTCCCAAAGTGCTGGGATTACAGGCGTAAGCCACTGCACCCAGCCATGAGTTTTCTTTTTCCTAAATATTTTCTTGCAACTATTTGTTGCCATAACAGTTTGAACCTGAATTTTATTTTCATAGGATTAAAGGTAGATATTTATTTCTGCTGATTTTTTTCATTAGAGAATGCCTATTATTAAAAATAATTTGAATGGATTAAATTATATTTTAAAAAGAAACAAAGATGAGAAAATAAAAAATATAAAAGGGGGGCCAGTTAAGACAGGGAGAAAGAGGTCAGGCATGGTAACTCATGCCTGTAATCCCAGCACTTTGGGAGGCCGAGGCGGGAGGATCTCTTGAGCTCAGGAATTCAAGAACAGCCTGGGCAACATAGAAAGACCTCGTCTTTACAAAAAATAAACAAAATTAGCCAGGCGTGGAGGTGCATCCCTGTAGTCTGAGCTACTCAGGAGGCTAAGGTGGGAGGACTGCTTGAGCCCAGGAGGTGCAGGCTGCAGTGAGCCAAGACTGCACCACTGTAGTCCAGCCCAGGCAACAGAGTGAGACCCTGTCTCAAAGAGAGGAAGGAAGGAAGGAAGGAAGGAAGGAAGGAAGGAGGGAGGGAGGGAGGGAGGGAGGGAGGGAGGGAGGGAAGGAAAGGAAGGAAGGAAGGAAGGAAGGAAGGAAGGAAGGAAGGAAGGAAGGAAGGAAGGAATAGAATAAAATAAAAAGGAAAGAATATGCAGAACCTACTTGTGGGGAGACAATCCTCTGTGGGTCTCTTGCATTTCTGCACATTGTGTGAGAAGTACTAGCTTTTTTTCTGGATTATTTTTTCAAGGATATTTTTATAGAGAACAATTTTGGAAAAAGAGAGTGTCTCTTTTTAGAGCAGAGGGCAGGTTTGTTTGCTGCCCAGTATAATTAAGATAATGTTTCCCTCCAAGGCAAAGTTTAGATAGGTTTGCTTGCAGCTCCCCGATAATTTATTAAGGTTTCCTATGCTCAGGGTCCCTCAGCAGTGATACTAACCCACTGCACGTGCAGCTTTCACCCGGGCTTCCACACATCACATCCATGAGACTTGTAGGGGCATGAACGGTATGAACACGAAGTTCATGCTGCCTGTTGTCCTATGAGTAATTAAGTCTTTTTACTCTGACCCAGGAGTCTTCATGTCTTCTGCCGGCATCCATAAAACCGTGGCAGCTTACTTGAAAACTTTTTTCAACAAAAATAGGATGCTGACAGACATGGCTTTTTGAAAGAGAAAGAATAAGGGATCCTAAGAACTGAGTTAGAATTTATGAGAAGACTCCCCAGGGAAGTATTTACCTAGTAGTAAATACCTAGTAGTGGTAGGCAAGGGCATTTAGGAAGTGTGAGGGTCTCCCACTGCTCTACCTGTTCATGAATGTCTAGAGTCTGAGCAGCAAGAGATAAGATTGAAATAAATAATCTAAATGGTGTTTTAGTTGTTGTTCACTCTCCTCTGGAAGGGAGGAGAAAGGATAAAAGAGCCCACAAAGCTGAGAGAGGGCTTGGATCATCTGAAAACTTTGAAAATTAGTTTTGGTTGTACCATGAACAGCCTCTGGGTCACTCAAACTGGAAAGAAAATATGCTTTGCTTACTGACATGAAGCCACTCTCTCCTTACATAGCCCCAGATTCCTCCCACCATTGCTTTTGCCCTTATCCCAGCTGCTTAAAAGAGGAAGGTGGGGTCAGGGTCTCCCTGTCCCCAAGGGGGAACAAAAGCTACGTGTGCACTTTCAGGTATGCTGGGGGAACTTAAGGGAGGTGAAGGACTCAAACTTGGATGCTCTGTTGAGTACAGACATCCAAGTCACCCATTCTACCCAGTTCTGTGAGGAGGGGAAGTGCCTACATTCAATTTGTAGGATTTGGTCAGGGTTTGGGGTAGTGATGTGATGTTAACATGACCTTGTTTTCCAGGATGTCATCTACCCCTTATTTTCCTTCTACTTCTCTAAGTGCCCCACAGTTTTCTTTAATAGTTCCTTCTCTTCAGACCACTTCTTAATTTTTTTTTTTTTAGAATTTTTTTTTATTATTAAGAGACAGAGTCTTATTATGTTGCCCAGGCTGGCTTCAAACTCCTAGGCTCAAGAGATTCTCTTACCTCAGCCTCCCAAGTACCTAGGATTACAGGCACATTCCACCATGTCCAGTGACAGAAATTCTTAAAAGACAGAAAGGGGAGGAGAAGGCAGGACGAGGGGGTAGTCATGGGCCTTTAACGGGAAAGATTTGAACTGACATGATTATAGGTGGGCTGAGATTTTTATATTTTCAAAATGAGGCATGGGTTGAAAATAAATAAGGGACACTCTTAAATGCTGATTCTTCCAGGGTTTCATCCTTGGTGGTATGTTCGTTTTACATTTTTAGATATATTATTTCATTCATATTCTAAAAGCTACTGCTTATAGTTCCCAAGACTGTATCTCCAATTCTAACCTATCTTCAAGTTCCAGACCAGCTTTTTCAAATGCTAGTTAATTTGGCTATCACAAGGGCACTTGAACCTAATACATTTTTTAAAAAAGAAGACTGGAGTAATTATACTCCTAAATATTCCCAACTTTCCCATCAAGGTTAATGGAATCAACATCCTCAAGTTTCCCAAGTAAAAAATTCATCTGGAGTGTCCCTCTTACCACCCACACCCAAATTGTGTCAATTTTATTTCAGAAATATATAAAAAATCTGACCATTCTTCCCTATTTCCTCAGCCACTAATTCAATTCAGGCTCTTACGATTTCTGTCCTAGATTATTGCCACATTGTCCTATCTGGTCCCTCCCCCATCAATCTCTCCTATAATCCATCTTTTACATTCCTAACATCATTATTTTCTTACCAAACAAATATGATTACACCCTCCCCTTTATTTAACAATTTCCCCTGATTTTCCACTAGCTGCCCTATAAAAGCCAAGCTCTTTTGTATGGGCACAATGCCCTTCATGATGTAACCCCAATTTAGTGTTCCAATTTCATTTCCTTCCACTCCCCACCACAGCCCTAAGCTCCAAACCACAATGAACTTCTCATATATCTTTTCAAAACTCTATGCCTTTGCAAATTTTGTCTTCTTTTCTTCAGATGCCCTTTCTTCCTCTTCTGTATATAACAAATTCTCATTCTGTCTTCTAGACTATCCAAAGTTCATCTTCTCTGTCAAGCCATCCCTAATTTTCCTAGACTGGACAATAGTGCTTATTTCTGTGTATTCAATTTGTTTATTCATGTGTTTGCCTTTTCCATTAAACTAAGTTCCTTAAAAGTAGGGATCTGCCGGGCACGGTGGCTCATGCCTGTAATCCTAGCACTTTGGGAGGCCGAGGTGGGTGGATCACGAGGTCAGGAGTTCAAGACCAGGCTGACCAATATGGTGAAACCCTGTCTCTACTAAAAACTCAAAAATTAGCCGGGCGCGGTGGCCGGTGCCTGTAGTCCCAGCTACTCTGGAGGCTGAGGCAGGAGAATTGCTTGAACCTAGGAGGCGGAGGTTGCAGTAAGCCAAGATCGCACCACTGCACTCTAGCCTGGGTGACAGAGTTGAGACTCCATCTCAAAAAAAAGGAAAGTAGGGATTATAGGTTTTTTTATTTGGGGTGCCTAGCAGAATGTCTTGAATATGGTTGAATAAATGCTTATTGGCTGAATAACTTACTTTCTTATATCAAGTCAAGATTCACTGGATGCTTTAGCCTGAAATAAATTCTTGAGCAACCAAATGCTGGTATTCTGCATGTTTTGTATATTGTATAGTATACACATTTTATTATTTGAATCTTTCTTTCCTTGACTATCTTTATTTTGGTTATTTAAATAAATATAATGAGCTATAGCATAGGAAAGAAAACAACTTTAAATTTGTTCCTTATTAAAAGTGTAAGAAGTTGGGTAAAGGAGAATATTGAAACAATTAGATAAATTAAGGTTGAGGAGCACCTATGATTTGTTCTTGCATCCCTCAGAGTCAGGAAAATAAAGAATGTGACCATTTGACTAGATATAAATATATTACCATCCACACCATTCCTTATAATATCAGGAAGCTCATTAATAAAGTGGTTTAATTTGAAGATCCTCATGAATGACTTTTAGCTAGTAAGATTATAATCTGTTTAGAGTATGAATTTCAATGGTTTGAGCCATAACATTTTACAGTCCATTGCATTTTATCTGGTCATTTAATCAAACTGACCAAACACCTCCTGTGCCGTTTCAGAAATAGGTGGGAAATGAGGGGCTATAAACAATTCCTGAAGAAGGATGGGAACAATTCATGCTAGCAATGTAATATATGTTTTTAATTTAATGGAACCTGTTCTGTATCCATAGGTTGATGAAATTTGAGAAAATATGAGTTATCTATATCAGGTACCCTAGTAAATCAAATTCCCTGAGGACAAAGAACTTTTATTCATATTCATCTCTCCTCCTTCACAGGTAAAACATTCTGAATACATCTTTGTTGAATTTTATTAAATGAAATGCTTTATTTTTTTTACAAAATTCTAGATATCATAATAAGCCTTACTCATTTATTGTTTGACATAAGAAAATATAACACATGTGCACCTAAAAGAATTTTAAAAATTACCTTTATGTAATATTTAGCACAAATAGAGAAATGTTTTTAGATCATATTGAGGCAGAGGAACCTGCAAACTAATTGCTGATTCACTCACTGGGAAGAAAACAGTTTATTTCTGTCAACTAAAAGAAATAATACATAAAACAAATACCAGAGAAAAGAGAAATATTTTTGTTTCACACAATACAGAGCTGTGATTGCAAAAAGAATTAAATGCTGAGCAAAGGAAAAATATGTTTATTTATTCGTGGAGCCCTTTCGAGTCTTAGATGAAAAAGGGTAACTAAACCAAATGATAACCTGGAAAGTATCTCCTAGAATCTTAAAATGTTTAAAATTTTAAATTTAATAATGTGAAAAATGAGAACCATTTTTATAGCACTGGCAAGAAAACAGGTTCTAAGATGTCCTTACAATTCCATGCTCAGTTTATATTCTGTTGTAACTTCCCCAAGTTTTATTTTTCTGAGTGGGCTGGGCAGTGAAACCCATAAGATTTGCCCTCTGGGACAGAGCCATTTTAAATACAATGCTCTTCCTACTCTTCAGACAAGAAAGCAGTGAATCATTCATCTTCTAACCAAAATTAAGCTGGTTAATTCCATGGCTATCAATCTTGACATTTAATGTTTACATTCAAAATTTGGGATTAAAAAAAAATGAGTAAAAAAGAAATATGAAGTGGACCATTAGTGAAATTCTAACTGAAGTGAAACTAAATCTTTTGTTAAATGGCAATGGTAAATGTTGTAAAGATATATTACTTCCTGTTTTCCAGTCTCTTTTTCTTGACCACAACCAGTGTAAGATATAATAAAATAACAACCTCCCAAGTTATGTTATTATAGAGTACTTTTACAGCCCAACCCAAGGCAAAATAAACATCAGTAATGAATTGTTCCCATGTACTGACATAAGGAAAGACTACTGACTGTCACTAAAAACTAGTGTATTTTTTTAAAATCTAAGAAAAGTAGAACTCTAAGGCACAACAGTTTCATTGTTAATTTATGTCATCCAAGATTTTGTCCAACTGAGCAATCAATTAGGAAATAATATATCAAGAATCTTACTGGCTCTAGTTGTAATCATTTACAAATTACTGATAAATTTAATAATATTTTGAAGGGTAAATTGTTCATTTCCTCAGCACTAGATGTTGTATTTAATGACACCAAAATACTGTTTAGTTTCAGCCAAAAGTAGGCAACTAATATTTTTTCCTAATATAGAGTGTAGAGGTGACTGACTCATCATAATATTTTCTGTTTTCATATTAGTCAGTTAGCACTCAAGAAACTCCGTATGCCATTGGGAGTGCAACAGGAGTCATATTTCTGAAAATGAAATTTCTGTTTTTATATACACTCCTTCTGTTGGCTCCTAAATTCAGGTAGTTTAGAGAAACATACTTTCCCACATTTAGTGCCCTGACTTAGGTAGAAGTTAATAATATCTTTATTCTAAACTGAATCATTGGTATATTGATGCTAAATGGTTGCAAGAAATTAAATGGTTTATTCTTTTATGTACCCCCAAGAAGCAATTCTAGTCTGTCATTCTTCTGCAACAAACACCTAATTAGTTTACTAATACATACAGAGGTGAAACAAAAAGTAAATTAAAAATACATATTTTCAATTTTAACTGGCCATAATTTTAATTTTCAAATTAGTGTTCTCTTCTATTAGCCCAGGCTGAAAAATTAAATATAGGATACCTAAATAAAACACATTTATGAACAAATTCATAAATTTAAGTCACATAAATTCAAGAAAGTATATTCTTATTTGATGTTTGAGAAATTTTCCATCAATAGACAAGTTTTTATATTCCATCAAATTCAGTGCTAAAGACGAGGCTTTGTACTTAGTATGCTGTCTTTCATCTTTGGCCTTCGAAACTCTTTATGGGCCTTAATTAATTCTCACCACACCCCTCTGAGGCAGGTTGGTATTATTATTCCCTCTTTATAGTTGAGGAAATGGAGACAAAAAGAGATTAGTATGAGATTTGCCCAATGACGTAGAATAAATCAGAGACACATTTAGTGTGAGCTTCAAAACGGCTCACAGATAAACATGTTGTTGGCGTCTTCATTTCTCTTTCCTATCAGTATCAATGTTTCAACATTCTCAACAGAAAATGTTTCTTGTTTAGCAACATTGCTAAGTTGAATTACTTTTTCACTCTGAGAAGTTTATATTGCCTCTTTGAGAATTTATTTTATTGCTTTCTTCTTTGCTACAAAATGAATTTTTGACATAATTTTGACATGTTGCAACTAAATGTACAGGTTGGTACCCTGAAGAAATTAGAGTATGCATTACTTGCAATTAGATATAAAACTTTCAGGAAAAAAAAAAAAAACTTTCCAGAAATGTGTAGCATGCTGTATCAGATCATTCATGGGGACATTCTAGGGTCCACGGAAGCCATTCACCTAGAAATCTTGATGGTAATATTATTATGATACCACCTCATTAAGTGACTCATGATGGCTTGTTCAGGCTTGTGTTCTTTGTGAACTGAAGACCTGCTATAAATCCAGTTACAACTAGTTTCTCTGCTATTGCATTATACCTCATGTTAATGGCTAAAGTAAACTTGCATATTTTTTTCCATTGGAGTTCAATGGCAAATGTCTGCTACTGAAGCAAAATGAAAAATAATATACATTATTTTTCCTTTTCTTCTTGAGACATCCCCAAAAATTTATGTTTAGGTTTAACCAAATCCAACGGTTTTGCTGTTCTATACCCTACGTGACTAGCAACTTTTTTGGAGGAGATAAGGCTATCTTTCCAAAAAAAAAAAATCTAAAAATCCTATAATTTAAAAAATTATGTTTAATTTGCCTTGTCTAGGTGAAGATGCTATTGAGAGATATCTCTGTTTTAAGATTTATTCCAAGCTTGGATTCCTTATGCTGTTTGGTTTTCTTATGATACCTTACTCTATTAAATTGTACTCAATAATAATACCAGCAAATAGTCTCTCTTTCTCCACAATGAACTCTCTTGTTTCCCCTGCTCTATTTTGGATAATTTGTATAAAATGCAATGCAAAGATTACATTTCAGGAAAGGGTGAAGAGAGGAAAGGCAAAAATATACCTTCAGTTTTCAAACTATACTACTTAAATATTTTGTTTTAGTCTTAATAGTCACTCACCGGCCAGGCGTGGTGGCTCATGCCTCTAATCCCAGCACTTCGGGAGGCCAAGGCAGTAGGATCACTATGTCAGGAGATCAAGAGATCGAGACCATCCTGGCCAACATGGTGAAACCCCGTCTCTACTAAAAATACAAAAATTAGCTGGGTGTGGTGGCACGTGTCTGTAATCCCAGCTACTGGGGAGGCTGAGGCAGGAGAATCGCTTGAACCTGGGAGGCAGAGATTGCAGTGAGCCGAGATTGCAACACTGCACTCCAGCCTGGCAACAGAGCAAGACTTTGTCTCAAAAAAAAAAAAAAGAAAAGAAAATAGTCACTCACCTTCCTTATAAAACCAGTCAATTTTTTTTAATTTAGGATATTACTAATCACTAAATATCATGTTGTATTGTAAAGACAAAAAATAAAATAAAAATAGAATATTACTAATCATTTAATTTCAGCAGTAACCATTTTGCTTCAAAATTCTGCTAAATTAAATCATGGTGAACTTAAAGTTGTTAAATTTTACACACATTACTTTATATGTAAACATACAAACGCACTTTAACGAAAATGACAAGACTTTTCAATATAGAAAAATAATTTACTCCAAGGTTCAGAGTCAGAGTGAGACTCGTTAGCAAACCTCAATTGGTGGATATTTTCAGTATTTTCCAAAGTCTACCAGTGTGTGCCCCTACAGGTTGGATGTTACAAAATAATCTCTTCTTTTTAAAATGGAAATATGCTGTATTTGCCTTAGAAGACAGTTTTCAAATAAGAGATCTATCTTCTTTCAATATTTATTGCAACTTATAATGGAATTCTTGTTTAAAGGTTTGTATAGAATTAGTTACACTCCTTTGTCACATACTCCCAAATATTTATTTTAGGGAGTAGTTGATAAACCTGCTGGTTCTATCTGAAAGCGTGAAACCAGGTCAATTTCGCCACTGGGGCTAAGCACCATTCATCACCCTTATCTCTCTAACAGCTAATCTAAAGTAGTTAAGTAGTAATACATTGGCAATTCCCTTATTTAAGTGATGCAGTAAGCTATAAACTTAGCATTGCAAAACAGAGGCAAAAACTGTGCAATAATCCTTTTTGACCCCAGGATAGGAATCTTGGGACATTATTCTCAGTTCAAAATAAAGAGACTTAAAATCATTTTCATACAGTTAATGGATTCTTTCCTGTGCAGTCCTAGGACATGATGAAATATATTTAATGAGCTGTGCAAGGAATGAAGCGTGTTTGCCACTATAGAGTCCATGTCAGAAATAGAGCAAAGCATAGGAAATCCTGCTCACATGTATTACAATCCCTGTTCAATCTCCTAGGTCAACAGTTCACAACCTTTTTGGCACCAGGGACCAGTTTTGTGGAAAACAATTTTTTCCATGAATGCGGGAGTAGGGGGAATGAAACTATTTCATGTCAGACCATCAGGCATTGGATTCTCCTAAGGAGTGTACAACCTAGATTCCTCACATGCACCGTTCACAGTAGGGTTCATGCTCCTATGAGAATCTAATGCCACTGCTGATGTGACAGGAGGCAGAGCTCAGGTGGTAATGCTCCAGCCCAGTTCTTAACAGGCCATGGACCCATAATGATCCATGGCCTGGGGGATGGGGATCCCTGTCCTGCAAGACTCTGTCAGTTGCTGTGTATTATAAGTTCTTATGCTAAAATGTGAGTAATATAATGCTTATTAGAAGTAGTGGTAGTATTTCAAAAAATTATTCTATAATGTGTTAATAGTCCAGACTCTCATGTGTTTTCGACATTATTTGAACCTAGTTTCAAAAGCTCTTTCATTTCTTACTGAGAGCAATTCTCCAAAACCTCCTTCCTCTTATCTACAATCAACTGTTCATTCTTGCTTCCCTTGTTGATTTACAGTGAATGAAGAACTATTCTGGTGTTATTGAGATCTGTTTCTTATGAAAAATTAGCTGTGCTGGCTCTCTCTATATATATGAGGGAGAAATGAGAAGAGAAGGTGATTGAGTAATAGTCTAATTGTTAAGACTTAATTACTTAAAAGCAGACAATATGAAAGTAGATGAAACAGATAATTAAGGAGGTTATTTATTCATTATAAAACACTTTTCTATGTCAAGCAATGTACAGTGTATTGGGGAGACAAGAAGCAGAC
The DNA here is from genome assembly GCF_000001405.40 of Homo sapiens. Lineage (NCBI taxonomy): Eukaryota > Metazoa > Chordata > Mammalia > Primates > Hominidae > Homo > Homo sapiens. Next base: position 86,561,798 of record NC_000004.12, read on the forward strand.
AGAGGACTTGCTCCCAGAAAACAGACAATCTAGTTGGAAGAAATATAAACTGTTTCTTCTTTTGCAATTCTTGTTGGATCATTCATTTTTCCCTATTCTAATTTTTATCATCTTAATTTGGACATTTACCACTTCCTTCTTGGATCACTACTGTTCTCCCCTGAAAGGCTTTCCCATCTCTGGTAAATATCCCCACTCGATCCTTTCTAAATTGACTCTTACTTCTAACTTCTACTTTGATTGCATAACTATCCTGTTCAAAAAGTTCAAGAGTTGGGCCAGGCATGGTGGCTCATGTCTGTAATTCTAGTACTTTGGGAAGCCAAGGCGGGAGGATCCCTTGGGCCCCAGCGTTCAAGACCAGCCTTGGCAACATAGGGAAACCCCAAGAAGATTGTTTGAGCCCAGGAGGTGGAGGCTACAGTGAGCTGTGATCATGCCACTGCACTCCAGCCTGGGTGACAGAGCAAGAGCCTATCAAAAAAATTAATAAATAAAATAGTTCAAGGGTTAATACTTTTGGAATAAAGTTTTAATTGTTAATCTAGCCTCAGCATCAATGCTCCTAACATCAGATGCCAATCTACTCATCAATTTTACATGCTGCTAGGCTGGGTACAGTGGCTCACACCTATAATCCCAGCACTTTGGGAGGCCAAGGCAGAAAGACTGTTTGAACCCAGGAGTTCGAGACCAGCCTGGGCAACATAAGGAGACCTTATCTCAGTAAATAAATAAATTAATTAATTTAGCCAGGAATGGTAGCCGATGCTTGTAGTCCCAGCTACTTGGGAGGTTGAGGTGGGAAGATTGCTTGAGTCTGGGAAGTCGAGGCTGCAGTGAGCTGTGATCCAGCCACTGTACTCCAGCCTGGGTGACAGGACAAGACCCTGTCTCAAAAAAATAAAAATAAAAAAAAACAACTTTACCTGCTGCACTATCCCCACACATACTGTAAGTTAAACTATGTTGCAAATCATTGTCTAATATACACTACACACTTTCCCATATTTCTACAGTGGATTACACTGCTGCCTGTGTTTAGAATGTTCTCTGTTGAAATCCTACCCATCTAAGGTAATATTCATATGCCACTTCTTCCATAACCAGAATTCCTAACCAGAATTCCTCCAGCTGAAACTGCTCTCTGTCATCTAAATGCTTTAAGCTCCTTCTTTGTATAACTCTTAAGGTACCAGTCAAATACTACCTTGTATTGTTATGTTTATTTCTTTCCTCCTTACAAGCACATAAAAACTCCTACATAACCCTTGGTATGTGTCTTATATATATTGAGCACTTAGTAAATATTTGTGCGATGTTGAATAATTACAATGAGAGGAAAAAGCAAGTGTGCATGAGAAGAGAGCAAATATGTAGGTAGAGATAAAAGTCATGGAAACCTTTGTAAACTGAAAGAAGTGGGGCTTAAATTTAATATGGAAGAAAGGAATTTTATTCATAATAGTATCTTGATTTATAGTTTACTTACAGGAAACTTTTGATTGCCAACATAACAATTCATTTACAAAATATGAGGGAGGTAAAAAAAAATGATGTTGAGGTTAGCAGGTGAAATCATTGTGAAAATTCCAGGAGAGAAAAGAAATCAGAATATTTGAAAAAGAATTTGTTCAAAGTAGCAGCATTATTTATACCCAGATAATTAAATTACCAGATTTATGGGATGAAGTATCTGTTTACTTTTCATCTTTTATGTTTGTGGTATCTAGGCCCATTTAGGATTGGAGTAATTTTTCTGATTACCTAATATAGTAGTCCTCCCCATTTGTCCTTGGGAGATACATTCCAAGACCTCCAGTAGATGCCTGAAACCACGGATAGTACTGAATCATATATATAGTATGTTTTTTGTTTTCTTCTCTGATAATCAAGAGACCTACTAAGTAACTAATGGGAGGGTAATATATACAGTGTGGATACATTGGACAAGAGGACATTCACATCCCAGGCCAGATGGAGCTGGACAGCATGCGATTTCATCATGCTACTAAGAATGCACAGTTTAAAACTTAAATTATTATTTTTTTTGAGACGGAGTCTCATTCTGTCACCCAGGCTGGAGTACAGTGGTGTGATCTCAGCTCACTGCCACCTCCACCTTCCGTATTCAAGCGATTCTCCTGCCTCAGCCTCCCAAGTAGCTAGGATTACAGGTGCATGCCACCACACCCGGCTAATTTTTGTATTTTTAGTAGAGACAGGGTTTTACCATTTTCTCCAGGCTGGTCTCGAACTCCTGACCTCAGGTGATCAGTCACCCTCGGCCTCCCAAAGTTCTGGGATTACAGGCATAAGCCACCACGCCTGGCCCAAAACTTATGAATTGCTTATTTCTGGAATTTTCCATTTACTATTTTAGGACCATAGTTGACCATGGGTAATTAAAACTGTGGAAAGCAAAACTATTGATAAGAGGGGCTACTGTACATCTAAACTACTTCTTTTTTGCATAGCTTTGCCTAGGTTTGTATAGCTTTTGAGATGAACAGTCTCCTGGCCATGGAAAGGCATTGGATGTATGGTGTTTTGAAAAAGAAATGCAAAAGAAGAGGAAAAGGACCAAAACCATTAGTAGTACAGAAGTTGCCTCTCCAAAAGCAGCTTGTTTCAGAGCCTCTTGCTTGCTTCCTCATTGACATCTTTCCCTCTCCCATCTCTTAAGATATAGTATACAACTGAAAAGGAATGCAAGCCAACCAAAGAAAGAAGATAAGGAACAGTTGTGTAAAACATTTATTTGCCTATGAATGGAGACATGCACAGACACCACCAAATGAATCCAATTCTTGCACTCTCCACTCTGCAATGGAGAGAAATCTGTGTGATCCCATGCACATATAGCGCCATGAGGAGATACCCCTTCCTCCTTTTCTACCACCTTTTTAAGGAGGTGAAACCGGCAAATATTCTTTAGGCTGGATTTAGACCTCAAAGCTCGGAAAAGGGTGCATTTTCAGTATAGCAAGATAGTCTTGGGGAGGAATTCTTCAAGTGTACAATCTCAAGCTACTCTGGAGAGTAACGCAATAGAGTATTTGCTTAGGCTCGTGGAACAATCTGCATTTATTCAAGCATGAGATGGCGGGGGAAGTTCAAGGGCCTCCCACACTGGAAACTGTGCTTAATGATTTGGCATCTCGAGAACTTATCTAGACTAGCAGGAGGAAGTCTAACCTTACAAATGGGCTTCTGTGAGACTTCTTACATATACCACTCCTGTTGAGAGTGCAGCTGGGTGCAAATGTGGCAGCCAGATGGCTCCCATGTTCACTCAGAATGTGAGGTGCTGGGGAGAGGGAAGATGAGTCCGCCTCCTACTGTACACTAACAACACATTAAGCAAATCAAACTTATCTATATATGAATTCACTTTTAAAAACAGCTCAGAACAATATATTTTTATTGCTGAAATACTGAGTATATTCTCACATCATACATATCCTCATTTCCTACTTTGCTCAAAAGAATAAATCCATGTAAAAATGAACTAAAAGTTTCCAATTCCACCATTGTATTACTTTGTAATTTAAGAGTAGACAGGAACAAATCTTAAATTTATAGAATATTAATAAAATATCTTCTTACACCGTTGTAGTCTATAAATTACTCTCAAACACACAATTTTTCTCTAAAAGCTAGTATTTCCATTCATCCAAAATATAATAATTGATCCAACAAAAGGACAAATAGTTGAGTCACAGAAAGGTCTTCAAGGTCCCTCTAAAACATCAGTGATTAAATTGTATTTAGCTTTTCGATAATGCTAAGGGAAACAGAGCACAATGAAAAAGTATGCAGACGTAGCAGATGCAGCACACATTTATATAGCAAAGATAATTAACAGTATTCAATGCTTCAGCCCAGGAATAGATTAGATTTAGCTTGCATACAATATTTTGTGCTTATCTCAACTCCATCTTCCTATTTAAATTTCTCTGACAGCTTATCATTTTTTTGCAGTAAACTATCAAACTCCTATACTTGTCCTTCCTCATCACGTTCCTTCCTAACACTGAAAATGTATCTTCAACTACTTCCTTAAATAAAACTCCTGCTCACCACAGACTGGCCTATTCATTGTTGCCTGAACACATACTCACATTCTTTCTACTTTCATGGTTTTGCTCAATTCCTTCCCCCCAAGTCTCTTGTAACTTCTCCATTGCCTAGACGGTATCCTTTCTTGAAGTTGTAGTTTAACTTCTACCTCTTCAGGAAGTCTTTTCCAATCATCTCCCTACCAAAAGATTTGCACATATTAACATCCTTGTGGAACATCCTCTTCCCTGCACTCTTTTGGCAAGTATTTTCTGTATTATCATTTGGTATTGACTTTGTTCCTCCATCCATTCACTTGGTATACGGCATATATTAATTCCCTCTTCCCAAGGTCAAGGATCATGTCTCCTATTTTTATCCCTAGAAATTAGAACCAAAAAGTACTCAAATACTACCCCTGATAATAATGTTGGTGTGATGATAGTGGATCTATGGAAAACAAAGACTAAGATGGAATCTCTTAGGAAATTACTGGGCACAAAAAAATATGAGTTCTTTTCAGAGAAGCATCCTGTTTCCTTCCTATATTCACCAGATATAAAAGTAGTCTAGGCCGGGCGCGGTGGCTCACGCCTGTAATCCCAGCACTTTGGGAGGCCGAGGCAGGTGGATCACCTGAGGTCAGGAATTCTAGACCAGCCTGGCCAACATGGTGAAACCCTGTCTCTACTAAAAAATACAAAAATTAGCCGGGCATGGTGCTGGGCATCTGTATTCCCAGCTGCTCGGGAGGCTGGGGCAGTAGAATTGCTTGAACGCAGGTGACGGAGTTTGCAGTGAGCCGACACAGTACCACTGCACTCCAACCTGAGTGACAGAGTGAGAATCCATTTAAAAAAAAAAAGTAGTCTATATTGTAACTAATCATCACCAATGTCCTTAATTTTTCACTTAAGCATGGTAATCAGGCTAGATGCAGTGGCTCTCACCTATAATCCCAGCACTTTGGGAGGTCAAGGCTGGAGAATCACTTGAGCCCTAAGTTCAAGATCGGTCTAGGCAACATGGCGAAACCCCGTCTCTACTAGAAATACAAAAATTAGCCTGGCATGGTGGTGCATGCCTTAGTAGTCTTAGCTACCCAGGCAGCTGAGGTGGGAGGATCACCTTAGCCTGGGAAGTTGAGGCTGCAGTGAGCTGTGATCGCTCCAGCCTGGGTGGCAGAATGAAACTGTCTCAAAACAAAAACAAAAATAAAAAACCATGGTAATCATATTCAGTTTGGTGTACATCTTTCAAGACTGCATTTTAAAATTACTTAGATTGTATACTGTACATAAAAATCTTATTCAAAAGTATAATTTTTCATACTTGAAAACTCAGTATGAAATATTAGTTCTAAATTTTTTTTTTTTTTGAGATGGAGTTTTGCACTTGTTGCCCAGGCTGGAGTACAGTGGTACAACTTCAGCTCACTGCAACCTCTGCCTCCCAGGTTCAAGCGATTCTCCTGCCTCAGCCTCCCAAGTAGCTGAAATTACAGGCATGCACCACCACGCTTGGCTAATTTTGTATTGTTAGTAGAGACAGGGTTTCACCATATTGGTCAGGCTGGTCTCGAACTCCTAACCTCAGGTGATCCACCCGCCTCGGCCTCCCAAAGTGCTGGGATTACAGGCGTGAGCCACCACACCTGGCTGAAAATTCTTAAAGGAAAAGTAGTGCATAATGTCAAAGTAGTACTTAATCTACACTATTTGGGTAATGGTATGACTGAAAGCCCAGACTTCACCACTATGTAATATATCTATGTAACAAAACTGTACTTGTACCCCTTAAATTTATACAAATAAATATTTACTTATTAAAATCTTGAATTTCATTTGATAGTAGATTCACTGACATACGGAGAAATTTAAAAGAGAAATGTATCATAGAATGAAATTAGATCAGTAAAGAAGTTTATGTCAAAGTGATTTATTTTTTCTTAGGGAAGGTTAGATGCTCAAGAAGATAGCATAAAGGAAAAAATAGTCAACATCTCCTAAAATATATGTGAAGTATTATTATTGTAACAGAAAGTAAACCTTCGCAATAAAAATGAGAAGACAGGAAGTTCTAGCTAGAGCAATCAGGCAAGAGGGAGAAATAAAAGGCATCCAAACTGAAAAAGAGACAGTCGAATATCTCTGTTCACTGATGATATAATCTTATACATAGAGAACCCTGAAGACTCCTCCAAAAGACTCCTAGATTTAACAAATGACTTCAGCAAAGGTACAGGATACAAAATCAACATATAAAAATCAGTAGCATTTCTATATACCAATAATGATCAAGCTGAGAACCAAGTCAGAACTCAATTCCATTTACAATAACTACAAATAAACCAAATACCCAGAAATATATTTTACCAATGAGGTGAAAAATCTCTACAAGAAAAACTACAAAACACTGCTGAAAGAAATCATAGATAACACCAACAAATGGAAAAATATCAAATGGTCATGGATTAGAGGAATCAAATCATTAATACTGCCCAAAGCAATCTACAGATTCAACACAATTCCTTTTAAACTACCAATGTCATTCTTCACAGAATTAGAAAAAATAATCCTAAAATTCATATGGAACCAAAAATAAAAACGGCCCAAGTAGCCAAAGCAATCCCAAGCAAAAACAGTAAAGCTGGAGGTATTACATCACCTGATTTCAAATTATACTATAACCAAGGCTATAATAACTGAAACAGTGTGGTACTAGTATAAAAATGGACACACAGATCAATGAGACAGAATAGAGAACCCGGAAATAAAGTCACACACCTACAACCAACAGGTCTTCAACAAAGTTGACAAAAATATACACTGGGGAAAGGATACTCTATTCAATATATGGTGCTGGGATAATTAAAGAGCAATATGCAGAAGAATGAAATTGGACTTCTCTTTCTCACCATATATAAAAATTAACTCAAGATGAATTAAAGACTTAAATGTAACACCTGAAACTATAAAAATCCAAAAGAAAACCTAGGAATAGCTCTTCTGGACATTGGTCTGGGCTAAGAATTTATGACTAAGCCTTCAAAAAAAATGCAACAACAACAACAACAAAATAGACAAATGGGACTTCATTAAACTGAAAAGCTTCTGCACAGCAAAACAAACAATCAACGCAGTAAACAGACAACCTACAGAATCAGAGAAAATATTCACAAACAATGCATTTGACAAAGGGCTAATATCCAGAATCTACAAGGAATACAAACAATTCAACAAGAAAAAAACAAATAACTCCACTAAAAAGTAGGCAGAGGACGTGAACAGACACTTATCAAAAAAAGACATACAAGCGGCCAATAAACATATGAAAATATGCTCAACATCACCAATCATCAAAGAAATGCAAATTGAAACCACAATGAGGTATCACCTTATACTAGTCAGAATGACTATTATTAAAAAGTCAAAAAACAACAGGTGTTGACGAGGATGCAGAGAAAAGGGAACACTTATACACTGTTGGTGGGAATGTAAATTAAGTCAGCTCCTGTGAAAAACAGTACAGAAAATTCTCAAAGAACTAAAAACAGAACTGCCATTTGATCCAGTAATTCCAGTACTGGGTATCTACCCAAAGAAAATTAAATCGTATTTTTAAAAAAAGACAGCTGCACTCGTATGCTTATCATAGCACTGTTCACACTAGCAAGGTCATGGAATCAACCTACCTACCTACCTACCTGTGGGATTTAAAAAAATGTGGTATTATATATACCATGAAATATGCTCAGCTATAAAAAGGAATAAAACCATGTCTTTTGCAGCAACATAGATGGGACTGAAGACCATTATCCTTAGTGAAATGACTCAGAAACAGAAAATCAAAAACCACATGCTCTCACTTATATGTGAGAGCTAAACAGTGGGTACACGTGGACATTCAGAATGGAGTAATAGACACTGGGAATTCCAAAAGGTAGGTGGGTGAGAGAGGGGGTGAGGAATGAAATACCACCTGTTCAGTACAATGCACACTATTCAGATGATGGGTACATTAAAAGCCCAGATTTCCCCACTACACAACATATCCATGTAACACAACTGTACTTGTACCCCTAAGTCCAGAAAAATAAAGTACTTAATTTCAAAAATAAAAGGAGAAAACTGTTTATTTCAGCTGAGAAAAAAAGTGAAAGTACTATCCATCAAGATAAAAGTCTGAGATAACCAAGACTCAAATATCTTCATTGCTTAAAACAAAACAAAACAAAACTTGTTTAAAGTTACTTAGCACCTATAATGTGCCAGGTAGTGTGTTGCCTGGGAATTCAAAGATGAATAAGACCCAAAAGAAATCCCATAACTCAAAATATGGTAGACAAATAGTTAAATAGATCCAGGCTCAGCAAACTACACTGCATGTTTTTGTAAGACTTGTGACCTAAGAATGGTTTTTACAGATAAATAGGTACAGGTAAATTTATTTTTACAGATAAATATAAACAGGTAAATATTACAGATAAATCTGATGACAGGGAACACTAACTTTGAACCCCAATTAAGAAAAATGTTATCCCCCACCAAAATAATTCCATTCTTCTGATTAGTATACTTGGTATTATGAAAATAATACTCAATATTATAATTTTACTTTTGCCAAAAAAAAATCATGGGAAATTGTTTTCTCTTTTGTTATATAAGTACCTACAGAATATCCTTGATTTTCCCTCTTGGCCTACAAGTTCTAAAATATTTACTTGCTGTAAACTTCACAGAAAAAGTTTGCTGATCCCTGAAATATTTACAAATAATTATAATTTGGTAAATACAGTGATAAAGAATATACCTATAACCTGAGAACTGAAGTTATTATGAAAATAATAACTTGAAGTAAGGAAGAACACCTAAATTAGCTTAGTAGAATGGTTTCAGGAAAGACTTCCTGGAGTAGGTGACATTTAGTCTGAAAAACTAAATAGGAGTTAACGAAACAAGGGGGATGGGCAGAGGAGTCACCAAGAGGTTGGAGGAGGGTCTTTAGTCGCCCATGGCCAGTTTGAGTCTTGAGATAAGCAGATGCCAGGGTGGAATTGAATCTGATTAGTTTCAGTTGTTAATAACTCCTAACTTTATATCTCTACCACAGACTCAGTTCCAGTTATAACCAGCTACCAGACAGCGTTTTTAACCAGCTAAGGGAGGTGGGGTGTGCAGAATTCCCTGCTGAGAAGATGCCATAATCTCTACTCTTCCTATAGACATGGATCCTTCTTTCAGGTTCTATTATCTCTGTGGGCCTGTCCTGTTTATTTTTTAAAGTTGTATTGTTTTATATAAAAGATACTTAATAAAATACTTAGGGTTTTTTTTTTAGTGATTGGAATCTGTAAAAAATAAAATTAATTTAAAAAAATCTTTGCAATGATATCCAAAATTTAAATATATATATATATATTACTGGATAGATACATGTATATATATATTTACTGGATATATATATACGTGTGTGTGTGTGTGTGTGTGTGTGTGTGTATCTCCAGTAAAAGATAGTGAATAGAACACCTATATGAGCTTATCAATTCTCCTTTCCAAACATCACAAAAATGATGGCAGGAAATAAACTTTTAAAAATTTAGAACCTTAAATAAAAGGAAAACTAGAGATAAAATAACAACAGTGAGAACTGTCAAAAATAGGTTAAAAACCGGAAAGCATATGATCAAGTAACAATTGACTTCTTAGCTGAACAGAGGAAGTTAAAAGTTAAGTACCTGTAGCTGGGAAAGTCAAGAAGCAAACTAATTCATTCCTGAAAAGGAATGAATGGAGCTTTCCTTCCTAGAGAAATCAAGGAGAGAAAAGACCTCATACTAAAAACTGGTGGGCTGCCAAAGATACGGTTGGCTATCTCCTGACAACCTTACACTGAAGCCCAATAATTGAATTTACTTGTCTATGGTAAATGTATGTGTAATTTATTTGGGGTCAGCTACATTATGTAACGAGCCCCTTGTTCAAAAAGCAGAAAAAAGGTGTCATTAAAAATATAAAATATAAAGCTTTTTCCTTTCTTCCTTGGTCTTTTTTTCAGTTTGTCATGGTTTTTTATTTTTTATTTGCTAGTTAAAATTTTTTCTAAGGAAGGAAAAATTTTAAATTATTAGGCTGAATTTTGTCATTCGTCTTTATATTGCATAATGCTAGCTTTAAATGTATATATGTACATTTAACTCCTATGTAGGATCACCAAAATCACACAATTCTTATTTTGTAGTTCATACATGCACATATATTTTGTTCTTACCAGAACAGTGGAAACACTACACAAAATTTACTCAATTTTTTATTTCAAGTCTACCAACACATTCTACCAACACTCTCTACCTTTGACTTATGGCATCATTACTTTCAGCAAAACCAGCTGTGTAATACTAGGAAACAATGGGAATAAGAAAGGATATCATAGGATTCCTTGCTCATTTGTGTTTCTTAGAATGCCATTGTCTTCTTTTTGCATTAGAAACAACTCTAGTTCAAATAAAAAACATAGCCTCAAGAGGTTATCAGTATTTATGTTTACTCAGACTTAGCTGTAACATGTTTACCTTGTGCTAGCTGTGAGTCTCATTAAACTTGTAGGCACCACTGGGTCCCTTGGAATTCTGTGTTCATGGGGTATCTCCAACACTATATGCAAACAGGGCAGAAAGTACTGGCAGACGAATTTCATAGTCCAGTGTTCCAACAGGCCTTACTTATAAAATACAGGTTTCGAGACAAAATTATTAGAATTTCAAGATACTAACAGTGGAATATTAAGCCGAATATGGGACTCTTTTGAGCATGAGGCCCTGTTCAATTGCACAGGTCTCATGCTCATGAACCTGGGTCTGAGTTTATAAGAAAATGCCAAATGGCTGTGCCATATTGCATTCCCACCAGCAACATTTGAAAGTTCCCGCTGATTTGCATCTTTACCAGTAATTGGCAGTGTCAAACTTTTAAAATATAGCCATTCTAGTAGGTATATAATGATATTCATCTTAATTTGCATTTTCCTAATTAATAATTTCGGTGAATATCATGTGTTTATTTGCTATCTGGATATCTTCTTTAGTAAAATATTTGTTTAAATCTTTTGCCCAATTAAAAAAATGAATTGTTTTCTTTAGTTTTGAAAGTTCTTCATATATTCTGGATATAACTTCTTAATCAGATATATCCTTCACAAATATTTTGTCCCAATCTGTGGCTTGTTTTATTTATTTTTTCACTTTTGCAGGAATCTTTTGAAGAGCACAAGGTCTTAATTTTTATAAACTCTAATTTTCCAATTTTTTAATAGTTGATGCTTTTTATGTCTTACCTAAGAAAGCTTTACTATCAAAGGTCACAAAGAATTTCCCCTAGCAATTTATATCGCTTTAGGTTTCACATTTTGATCTATGTACAATTTCAAGTTAATTTCTTTATATGGTGGAGATAGGTTTTAGCTTCAGTTTTCTGCATATGGATGTTCCAGCACCTTTTACTAACAATGTTTTACCTCATGAAATTACTCTCTCATCTTTGTTGGGATCATTTAATTGAATATATGTGGGCATCTTTCTGTACTATCTTTATCTATATAGCTATCCTTACTCCCAATACTACACTGTCTTGAATACTGCAGCTGAATAAGTACTGAAATCAGACAGTGGGAGGCCTTTCTTGTTTTTCTGTTTTAAAATCATTTTGCTTATACGAGGTCCTTTGCATTTCCAAACAAAGTTTAGAATATGCCTATCAATTTCTACTCAAAAAGCTGCTTATATCTTGATTGAAATTGCACAGATTCTATAGATAAATGTGAGATAAATTTACCCATTAAAAAGTCTTTGAATCCATAAACGTGATATGTCTCTCCACTTATTAAGTTTTCTCTCATTTCATTCACCAATGTTTTATAGTTTTCAATATAGAAATTTTCCACATTTTCTTAGATTTATCCCTTATTATTCATCCTTTTTGATGCTATTGTTATATTTTTTAAATGTCAATTTCTAATTGTTTAATTACAAGTATATAGAGAAATGCAATTTTTTAAATTATCATTATACTTTAAGTTTTAGGGTACATGTGCACAATGTGCAGGTTAGTTACATATGTATACAGGTGCCATGCTGCTGTGCTGCACCCATTAACTCGTCATTTAGCAGTAGGTATATCTCCTAATGCTATCCTTCCACCCTCCCTCCACCCCACAACAGTCCCCAGAGTGTGATGTTCCCCTTCCTGTGTCCATGTGTTCTCATTGTTCAATTCCCACCTATGAGTGAGAACATGCGGTGTTTGGTTTTTTGTCCTTGCGACAGTTTACTGAGAATGATGATTTCCAATTTCATCCATGTCCCTACAAAGGACATGAACTCATCATTTTTTATGGCTGCATAGTATTCCATGGTGTATATGTGCCACATTTTCTTAATCCAGTCTATCATTGTTGGACATTTGGGTTGGTTCCAAGTCTTTGCTATTGTGAATAGTGCCGCAATAAACATACGTGTGCATGTGTCTTTATAGCAGCATGATTTATAGTCCTTTGGGCATATACCCAGTAATGGGATGGCTGGGTCAAATGGTATTTCTAGTTCTAGATCCCTGAGGAGTCGCCACACTGACTTCCACAATGGCTGAACTAGTTTACAGTCCCACCAACGGTGTAAAAGTGTTCCTATTTCTCCACATCCTCTCCAGCACCTGTTGTTTCCTGACTTTTTAATGATTGCCATTCTAACTGGTGTGAGATGGTATCTCATTGTGGTTTTGATTTGGAGAAATGCAATTTTTTTTAAAGTCAGACCTATGGCTAAGAAATACAACTTACTTTTGTATGTTAATCTTATGTTCTGTGACCTGGCTAAACTCACTTATTAATTTTAGTAGAATTTTAAATAATCTTTGGGAGGGGATGGGGGGCAAATTACACCATCTGAGAATGCTGATAGTTTTATTTCTTCCTTTATAATCTGTACACCTCTTATTTCTTCTTCTTGCCTCATTGCTCTAAACAGGGCAGTTAATATATGATTTAACAAAATATGATGGTTAACATGTCAACTTGATTGTGCCAAAGTGTGCACAAATTAACCATTATTTCTGCATGTGTCTATGAGGATGTATTTGAATGAGATGAGCACTTGAATCAGTGGATTCAGTAAAATAGATTGCCCTTCCCAGTGTGGGTGGGCATCATCCAATCTGTTGAGGGCCTGAATAGAACAAAATGACAGAGGAAAGAGAAACTCCCTTCTTTTCTTCCTGTCTGCCTGTTTGAGCCGGGACATTGGCCTTCTCCTGCCCTTAGACTAAGATTCGCACTGATTCTCCCCTGATTCTCAGGCCTTCGGACTCAGACTGAAATTATACCACTTTCCTTCATGGGTCTCCAACTTGCAGATGGCAGGTTGTGGGTCTTTTCAGCCTCCATAATCATGTCAGCCAATTCCTCTAATATCTCAGATATTATGGATATTTGATATCATAATATGGATTATGGAATCGGATGGGAAAGAGATCCATCCTATTGGTTCTGTTTCTCTGGAGCTGACTAATACACACAAGTAGTTAGAACAAATGTATTTTATTTGGTCCTGATTTTTAAAAGAAAATAAATATCTTTCATTATTAAGTATGTCAGCTCTAGTTTTTTGGTAGATATCCTTTATCAGGTTGAGGACGTTATCTTCTACTCCTAATTTGCTGAGTTTTATTTTTCTTTTTTTGAATCTTGAATGGTTATTACATTTATTTCAAATGCTTTGGGAGGGGATGACACAGGAGATCATATGTTGTTTTTGTTTTGTTTCTAGTCTGTTGATATGCAGAGTTACATTGATTACTTTTTAAATGGTAAAGCAAACTTGCATTTGTGTTTAAGAATGAGTTACTACATCATAACCAAAAACACTCCATGGTGTATGATGGGGTTATGATGTAGTAACTCATTCTTAAACACAAAAGGGTAGACAAAGATCACAAGTCATTTGAGGGAAACCTCTAACATGAGAGAGAAGATAACAATAAACAGAAAAAAATAGCATTTGGAGTAAATAAAGTATCACTGTCACCTTCAAAGAGATGAGAGAAGATATTGTATGCTAGGTAACATAACATAATATTGTGTGTGTATGCGTGTGTGTGTGTGTGTGTGTGTGTATTATATATTGCCCAGGCTGGAGTGCAGTGATGCTCATAGCTCACTGCTACCTCAAACTCCTGGGCTTAAGTGATCTTCTCACCTCAGCCTCCTGAGTAGCTGTGATTAAAGGTACAAGCCATCATGCCCAGGTAATACTGTATGTTTTTAAAAGAATCATTCAAAGATCCAGAAAGAGCTCCTGTAAATTAAAAATAGGACATAAAAATTCAGTGGAAAAAGATGACATCTAAGATATTTCTCAGAAAATGAGGGGGGAAGACAATAAGAATAAAATTATCAAGAAGCAGCATAAGAAAATTAGAGGTTTAGCATCTGATTAATGGTAGCTCTACAAAGAACAGAGATACTAAACCGGGGTGGGGGTGTGGCAGGTAGAGTAGTTAATAGCGTTATAATGCAAGAACATTTCTTAAACTGAAAGACCTGAATTTCCAGTGCCCAGCATGATTTTAAACGGCCTATAGTAGGCCGGGCGCGGTGGCTCACGCCTGTAATCCCAGCACTTTGGGAGGCCGAGACGGGTGGATCATGAGGTCAGGAGATCAAGACCAGCCTGACTAACACAGCGAAACCCCGTCTCTACTAAAAATACAAAAAATTAGCCGGGCGCGGTGGCGGGTGCCTGTAGTCCCAGCTAACTTGGGAGGCTGAGGCAGGAGAATGGCATGAACCCGGGAGGCGGAGCTTGCAGTGAGCCGAGATCGCGCCACTGTAGTCCAGCCTAGGGGACAGTGCGAGACTCCGTCCCAAAAAAAAAAAACAAAAAACCTATAATTGGTTAATTATTGTGAAATGTCTGAACACTAGACGAAGGTTTTAGGATAAAGATCCCAAACCTTCCACTGAGGGAAAACAATTTACATTTAAAAACTCAGGAACTAGAATGACAGACTTTTCAGCTGCAATTCTGAAAGTCCAGAGACAATAGAGCGCTGCTTTTAATATTTTGAGGTAAAAGAATTTCCAACATTATATTTAGTATAAATGCATTTTTAGGCCCACTATATTGGCTTACACATGTAATCGCAGCTCTTTGGGATGCCGAGGTGGGAGGGTTGTCTTTGAGCCCAGAGTTTGAGACAAGCTGAGCAATGTAGTGAGAACCCCCGCAACCACCCACCTCTACAAAAAATAATTGGCCGGATGTGATGGTGCACACTTGTAATACCAGCTGCTTGGGAGGCTGAGGTAGGAGGATTGCTTGAGCCTGGGAGGTTGAGACTGCAGTGAGCTGTGATCATGACACTGCACTCTAGTCTGGGTGACAGAGAAAGACCTTGTCTCAAAAAAATTTTTTTTAATTAAAAAGAAAGATGTATGCCATTAAATCAAAAGAGCAAACTAGAAGGAAAAGGACATAAGACTCAGAAATAAAGAATCAAACACACAATAAAGATAAAGAGAATCCCCAGAACAATGATACAAAGAAATTCCAGAATGACATCTATGCAGCAGGCCTAAAGAACAAGTACATATTAGAGTAGGAGAATGCAAAGCTCTAATAAGAAAGTCCCTGAAATGGAAAAATGTGTTTGTTTGCCAACCTTGTTGAGAGGAGATTTATGTTTCTGATAGTTTAGGGACATTTAAGCACACAGAAAACCAAGCAAGCAAACAAAAAAGGACAATTATTTACTCCAGAAGGAAAATAAAATAGCCCAAGAAAATTAATATAATCCAAATACTCTATGCAACTCAGTTTTGAGTAATTACGTGGTTGCAATCGTTATAAAGGCTGAATATTGACAAAATTGAAATTGAGATCATTGAATTGGAAAAACAGGGGCATGAAAGTCTAATGGATAAAACAGAGAAGAAAAATTTTAAATACCATTTTATTGAGTAAATATTTATAGAATATTTATTGTGGTCTAGGCAGTAAGTGCTTCACAAATACTATCCATGTAATCCTGATACTAGGATTAAGGTTAGTATTAATTCCAAGTCAATTGGAATTAAGGTTGGTATTATTAATACCTATATTAATAAGGTAGTAATTTCTAAGGTTGGTATTACTAATTCCAAGTTTGCTGATGAGCGAGCAAAAACACAGAAAATTTAGTTAATTTCCCCAAGATCAGTGGTTTTCAACTGGGGGTGATGTTGCTCCCAACCCCAGGGGACATTTGGCAATACCTAGAGACATTTTTAGTTGTTATAGCTGGGGTGGCAGTGCTGCTGGCATCTAGTGGGTAGAGGCCAGGGATGCTGCTAAACATCCTGTAGTGCACAGTACAGCTCCCTACCACAAATCATTATCTGGCACAAAATATCAATTGTGCTTTGGTTAAGAAATAATATCCAGAATGAAAAGGAATGGCAGTGGGAGAGCTGGGATTTAAATCCCAGCAGCTCTTGACCACCTTACTACTCTGCCTTTCAATAGCAGTCTAATGATGTTGTTTAGAAACATGAAGATAAAATCAGAAGAAAAAGCTGGAAGAATTAAAGTGGTTGCTTCTACAAAGACATAACCTGAGATGGAGAATAAAGGCCATAAACTATTATTGTGCTTTTGTGTGTTGTTTTTCACTGTTCTCTTAAAAGACCTGAAGCACTATTTGAATTGTAATATGCTTATTTTCAAAGGTTAAACTATTTGTGAACATTCAAATCATAGATAATTTTCAGCTTAATTATTGTTTTCCATATTTGAGAGTATTTATTAAAATGCAGTTTATAAGAGTTTTCTAGCAGCAAATATTTGTAATGAATGAAAAGAGGGAAAAAGTTTCATGGAGGAGAGAATAAGAGAACTTTTGTCTTGATTGACGTCTTGCACCTCAAGTTCCAACTTGTGACATAATGAAGCATTTTAAACAGAAAATCTTGAAGATTTTCTGTTTAAAAATCTGGAAGATAGATTACCAACTCTATCATTACATATATTAAAACATCAACATTAGAGGAACAGTGAAGTTGTTCAAGAAAACACTGGAAGTGAGTGAAATAAGGATGACACTTTTATTCTTAATAATTATTTTTAAGTTAATAAATGTGATATAATCTAAAAAGTCATATGGAAAAAACAAATCTAACTTGGAAATTCACCCAATATTTTCTGCCAGTGAGAATGTATCTTTAATTCAACAGGATATACGGCAAAGATAGGAAGAAAGATACAAAGTTTATGTTACTACTACAGCAGTACATTGGATCAGCAGATTATCCCACTCCTTAGCCTCAGAGAAAACAGAAGCCATCTACAAGAAACTTTCCTATCTCTGTTTCCTTACCCACATCTCCATTTTCCTTTCTCAGGTGTTTCTCTTTCTGTTTAAGGTACTTTTTGTTTTCTTTTGTTTTTTCTGACTAGGTAATTTCACATGTTTCAAAAAGTAAAAGATATCAGCATACAGTAAGAAGTCTTGAACCTGCTGCCATGCACATTTACCTCATTCTTCCCAGTTCTCTACAAATAACCATTTTTATAGTCTGAATCCTCTCAGTAATTCTTTATATAAATACAAGCAAATATGGATATGTGTATACACACACACACACACACACACACACACACACACACTTTCTTATATTTCCCATATGCACTCTTCTATGTCTTGCTTTATTTCACATAAAATGTTTTGGGATACAATTTAATATAGCAAAGTCTGGCCACCTTGAAGATACTTATCATTTAACAACTGAGAAAATTTAATTCCAGAGATTATATTTCCATTAAAAATATTAACCACCATAATAATTACTGGACAATTTTTAAGTTTTTCACTTCTCAGATACACTAAAAGAAAAATATTTTTAAAATCAGATGTATGTTTTCTATGTTTTAGATTTTTCTTTTTAAGAGACAGGGTCTTGCTCTGTCACCCAGGCTGGAGTGCATTGGCACGATCACAGCTCACTGTAACCTCAAACTCCTAGGCTCAAGTGATCCTCCCACCTCAGCCTCCCAAGTAGTTGGGACTACAAATGCCTGCCACCACACGGACTAATTATTTTTATTTTTTGTAGATAGAGGTCTTGCTGTGTTGCCCAGGTTGCTCTTGAACTCTGGATTTCAAGTGATCCTCCTGCCTCCCAAAGTGCTGGGATTACCAGTGTGAGACACCGTCCGTGGCCTGTTTTTATGAGTTACTAGTTAAGCCAACTTAAAGAAAAAGTGTACTTTAGCAAGCAGTATGTTTGGAAACAAATTAATAATTAGACTAAATACCCTTTGTATAAAAGTTGGCCGGACGCTGTGGCTCACACCTGTAATCCCAGCACTTTGGGAGACCAAGGTGAGTGGATCACTTGAGGTCAGGAGTTTGAGATCAGCCTGATCAACATGGCAAAACCCCGCTCCTACTAAACATACAAAAATTAGCCGGGCATGGTGGCGTACATCTGTAGTCCCAGCTACTTGGGAGGCTGAGGCAGGAGAATTGCTTGAAGCCAGGAGGCAGAGGTTGCAGTGAGCTGAGATCAGGCCACTGCATTCCAGCCTGTGCGACAGAGCGAGACTCCACCTCAGAAAAAAAAAAGTAAATCAGTGGTCTTAATGTTCTTACTTTGCCTTAATTTTGCATCATTTTCTGTACTTCTAAATTTTAAATATGCAACTTTATCAAATATTTTAATTTCTCTATTTAAAAAAATCCTGAGATAGTCAAAGATCATTTTTCAAATGCTAAAAACCTAAATAATCACATTGAAATCAATTTTTTTCTAGCAAGATTTTAATGGGAGCTAAGGGGCTTGAGATTGTATAAATAAACCCTCCCTTCTACTCCATGCAACATGGATAACTCATGTGGACACACATTTCTTTGAATGGAGCTCAGAATGTGGAGTTGGTAGAGGAGAGAAAGAAAAATGTAACACATGACAACTGTACACCAAGTTAACCCCAACATATCTCTACTTCCTGCGGATAAACAGCCTGATTTGACCTGGAGTTGTGAAATCAAAGGAAGGTGAGAGTTTCTCTGTGGCCCTTCCAAGATTCTCCCAGAGTGCAAAGCCTACCCTAATGCCACAGGAGAATCCTATTTTATAGTCAGTTGTCTTTGAATAAATGGTGTTTTGCTTCAATTCTAAATGAATATTATCTTTTGGGTACATATTAAATTAGTTTCCTGTCTTCTATTTCAAGTGAAAAATTACTTTGCATTTTATGGATTCAACTTATTGCCAGAACTGCTAGAATTGTACTAGCAGACAATCAGAGGGTTTTGCACCATGTCTATTTGACTTTCTTATGGCATATGGACATACCCTTGTCTGAAATTTAAAAAAAAAAATACAGAAAAAAATGGAAAGATCAGCTCTATTCCCTAAAACAGGAAGAGAAATAATTTCAACACATATAAAATAATAAAAGTAAATTCAATATCTATTGAATAACTACCATAGGCAAAGCAATGCAACCTTCTAAAGGTTGAAATTAGTAATGTGTTACTAGAAATATAATAAAAATGTCAAATACAAATTATATTAGTGCTGTAATAAAATTAAGTCGAGATTCTTCAAAATTATATATGTTCACAAGCACAAAAATAACAAAGAAAAATGGTAAGCATGTTGTCAAAATGCAATCGATGATATTTCAATCATGCCACATTTCCCCAGCAGGTGTTCTATTTAAAGAAATTTGTTATATTTATTCTGGTTGTTTTGTATAACTAAGCTATCTTTTTTTTTCAGTTATTGTGTGTGTGTGTGTGTGTGTGTGTGTGTGTGTGTTATTTTGGTGAAGATGAAGTATAAGAACTCTAAATTCTTTATACAACCTCTATGTATCTTTGAATAGACTATCAATTTTTAAAAACATTATTAATTGGACACACCAACTGAGCTGTATGTTCTTATGTGTTATTTGCTGGCACTGATAAGTTTCTGGAAATTAGTAAAACACTTTAAGCTATATATATTATATATATATATATATATATATATATATATATATATATATATATATATTCTAATACTGCAGAGGCATGTGAATCAAGTGGTTTGCACAACTGATGTCCAAACAGGAACTTATTTTTTGTTAAAATATCATTTATCAGGTGCCAAGTGTAATAGGAATTCTCAGGAGCTTCATACTGAATCTACAGGCTTTTTTCTTTGTCTTCAAAAGTACAAGAAATCGTTTATTGTTTGTAATCTGTAAAAGTGAAAGTAACAGCAAATATAAAACGCATTTAGGAAAACAGAAAAAGTAAGCCAAATGTAATCTCTAACTCTTTCAAAATTAAAAATCCCTTTTGAGAAGAAGAAATTTGTAAGTACAAGGCAAATTTGCTAATACGTTTTTGTTTACTTTGTTATAAGTTCAGTATAAAATTAGCATAATTTCCAAGTACTAGATACCATATTACTAATATAAATACATGCTATTTAGAAAGTGATTACTATAGTAGTTTGAAACAGACAAAATCAAGCAAGGGTTTTTGCACATATCTTGCAAATATAAACTTAGAACCTTGATTTTACCAAAATTATACGAACCTTATCTTTATTCATGATCATATCAAATAACTACCTTGGCTCTTTGCCCTCCCAAAACAGGCCTCCTTTTCCTTAAAGCTATTCCATTTACTTGGCTTAATCTATAACTAGAGCAAGACTGAAATAATCATCTATGTCATCTAAAAAAACCACTTACACAAACGACACTGTGGGAAAAGAGAGAGGCAGTGGCCTGGCACTGATGACTGTCAAACAGGAATTGGGAACTAAACCAATGAGCCCTCAAAGACTGGTAATTTGATAGGACACTTTCTATAGTAGCTGAGAAAACAATGATACTTTACATAAAATTTAATCTTTTATAAGATTTTTGCATTTTAGTTGATAATTTATATTTTTATCTTACTACTGTGGTTATATTTGAATGTGTTATTAATATAATTAGGTGATATAAATAAAATTAACATATTATTTTATGAAAATATTATTGTATTATTCAAAAACCAAATAATCATTTAAAATTTTTTGTTAAATTGAAATAGCTCATAAAGATCTTTCTTATTTAATTAGTGATTGATGGAAAAACTTATTGTTACTACATCCAAATAACCTGTTCACCCTACCCTCACCACCCAGTGAACACTAACTCTGTCTGTAGTACCCCCATGTAGTACAGTACCTAAAGTACCTAAGTAGTTTACTTAGGTAGTACAGTTACCTAAGTAAACTAACATATATTTTCTTTTCTTTTTTTTTGTATTTTTAGTAGAGACGTGGTTTCACTGTATCAGCCAGGATGGTCTCGATTGCCTGGCCTTGTGATCTGCCCGCCTCGGCCTCCCAAAGTGCTGGGATTACAGGCGTGAGTCACCACGCCTGGCCCCCATATATTTTCAATCCCTTCATCTCATGCCTACCTTTTCTAGAAGCTAGAAAAGCTATGTACTTGCTTCCTTGCTTTCCTTGCAATCAGAAGTGGTCATAAGACATAATTCCGGCCATCAATATGTAGGTGAAAGAATACTAGAGAGAAGTCTTTTGGGGGAAAGTCAGTTTTTCTACATTAAAAAAACGCAGTTTTCCATCATTCTTTTTCGGTCTTGAAAGAGGATCGAATGTGTGGAATTGCTGCAGTCCTGTTATGACTTTAAGAGGAAGGTAAAGATAATTGCAGTGATCCTGGATTGGATATTGTTGAGCTACTGCACTGTCAGAAGCAGTTGCCTATTACCTGGTTTCTAATGTGAGAAAATAACCCTTTCTGTTTAAGCCACTGCTTATCAGATACTCTGTTACTTGGGGCCAATAGTCTTTCTGATGCACTGCCCTAAAAGAGTTCATATTCTGAGAAAAATATGATCACATGCCCAAAGTAGGTAACAGTGCTTTAAATAAAAGATATCTTTTATCTTATCTAAATTGAGGTACCCACCTTCCACCCCCTTGTAATATCCTGATTATCAGAGTCTAGCTATTTGCTGAAAGAAAGGGCTGGTGATTTCTCAAAGAAAGGGCTGGTGAATGAATTTATGCATAGATGTGTTTTACTTTTGGTTAAAAGACAGGTAATGAATGTATGAATGTGTGTGAGTGTGTGTATGTCTGTGTGTGTGCATGCATGGGTGTATGTAGGGTGATAATCCATATAAAATAGTTAATTTTATTAGAGACTTTGTGATATAGTGAACCCAACTGGTGCTGCTTCAAGAACCAACTGACAAAGTATGGCACAGTGGTGGCCTCACTTCTGCAGTTAAGCCCAGCCCAGCTCTAGCTCTTTGGTAGGCAGTTTGGGAATCACTGAGAGACAATCCCTACAACATCAAGATTAATTCTGTCACAGAGGGTATAAGCAGCAGCAGACGTGTCAGGAAACTCTACAGTAAGTGACACTCAGGTATTAAACTTTTAGGAGGTCTAAGTGGAAAAACAAAGGAAGTTTACAGAGCATATATTAATATGTCTTGAAAAATCCTGGAAATATTGGGAGTGGTAAGAAATTTTGGGGAGTATGGAGTTCCTACGAGAGGGTCTCACTCTGTCACCAGGCTGGAGTGCAGTGGCACCATCACAGATCACAGAAGCCTCCACCTTCCAGGCTCAAGCAATCCTCCCATCTCAGCCTCCCAAGTTGCTGGGACTATAGGTGCACACCACTACACCTGACTAATTTTTAAAATTTTTTGTAGAGATGGGGTCTACAGGCTGTTGCCCAGGCTGATCTCAAACTCCTGGGTTCAAGTGATCCTCCCACTTAGCCTCCCAAAGTGCTGAGTTTACAAGTGTGATCCACCTTGCCTGGCCTAAATTTGCATTATTAATGTAACTGGAATCTAGTTTGTAGACAAACTGACAGGGTTATGAAGAAGGTGATTTTTGGTTAACAGATACTTTAACTCTTCACCCAATTCAAGCTGCTATTGGTGAAGAGAAGCTTGAAGCTGCTATTGAGAAGACTTTTATCCAATAAAAGTCTTGGATTAAAAGTCCAAGACAGTAGCTCAATAATATCCAATCCAGGACTTTTATCTAACACTTTTATCCAACTTTTAATCCAATTCAAGCTGCTATTGAGAAGACTTTCCCATTAAGAGAACTGGACCGGAGAAAGGAAGATTATTCAAACAAGAAAGCAAGAGAATGCTTATTGAAAGCCGAGTAACTGGAGTATATTCTTTGATTAAAGGCAGTAGAGTTTATACTTCTTTAGGTTCATATTAATGGTATACCGTAATAACCATATCATTAGAAGGGTAAAAAGTCTTATTTCCCCCTCCACACTCCAAGACTCTGTATGCAGTAGTAATCTCTCTTCATTTTTTAAAAATGAAATTGAATGCTATGGAAAGACAAATCATTGCCACAAATTACTATGGGCAAGAAAACTGGAATATATTACAAAAATATATTTAATGGAAGCATTCTAAACTCATTGTTTCACAAGTGTCCTCAAGCTATATGTTCCCTTTAACAAAAACTAAAACAAAAAACTGTTGGTTTTGCATTATGGAAAGTGTTTATGTAAATAAGACAATCTAGAACTCCCAACAGTAGATCGATGGTCAAAAGGCCTTGGCCCAGCATCCAAAGACTGGCTAATGAATGCATAACGGTAGGTTTTTAGTGAAAATATAATGCTTACATCATATATGTATAATATTTTATAGTTCTCTACTTTAACTTTTTAGAATAGCTGAAGAACTACTCATCCTAATCGTTTCAGCTCTCTAAGACAAATTTCCCCTCTTCATGTTGTTGAATGTGGCAGGTTCCCCTTTTAATATGAATATCGTAAGTCTGGGTTTGGCTCTAGATTAATAACTAGTCTCTGTAGATATGACCATTTTCCTCCTAAGTTTTCTACTAGACATTATAGGGGGAGATGTAAAAATCAAGACAATCGACTTAAAAAAATTATTTTCAAGTGATGCCTGTTTAAATTAAATGCTCTAATTCCACCTAACAAAGCCTTTAATTATCAATTTTCTTGCACAGCAGCTCACTCCCATCAGACAATATGAAATCACACTCTTTAAGACAGAAGATAAACTAGAAAGCTTAACTTCTGTCTTGGTCTTCATTTCTGGGAACACTTTTACAAATCAAGATTAGCAGCCATGAACCCTAAGGCAAGTCCCTGTGGGTCAGGATTAGAGCATATTCACATTAAATTACTTAGTATATGTTCTAACATGGCTAAGTTTCAAAAATACAGAAGGGTTATGCTTATTTGCCATATTCCCTTCAACCAAACTGAATAGGCAGTTACATAACTTGCCAGGACAAGTAGTAGAAATGAGTCAGAGACAGGACCAACCCTAGTAAAAATTGTGAATTAGGCAGTTTGACTTCAGTGCCACACCCCTTTAGTACTACATATACTTCCTTGATCCCCTCCCTTGGTATCATCAGCCCCGAGGGCCACCCTCATACCACATACCTCTCCCCCACCAAATTCCTCTCTCTGTCTTTCACTCATCATCGAAACTGGCTTCCCCTCTTTCCTACTTCCCCTTCGTTAATTTGAATTTGCAGCTCCAGTATCTCTCTCCTTTAGGGTTTAAAATGACAACTAACTAATCTGATAAACCAATCCACATTAACGTGTGAAGAGAGAAAGCTAGAAAATAAAGTGAATTTTAACTATGACTTTCTAAAGATAAAACCTTTGCAGTTTAACTCATTAATAACTAAAAGTGAGAATTTCTAGCCAAAAAATTTAGGTGAGGGAAATGTTTTGGTTCGGGTAGAGCCTTGAAGCACCTGGAAAATCAAGTAAGAATAGATGGTTGCTTTTATGGTGTAGCCAGCTCTAATAAGTGTAACTGACTAGCCCTGGTCAGTTTGGGGCCAGTAGGGGAAAACGGGAAATAAGCTAAATATACAAAAGAAGTTCATTTGCAAAGAAAAGTGGAAGTTACAGGAGCACCACAATTAAATTTTTCTGTCTTAGTATTTCATAGATCTAGCGAGTCCTGGTGCCTGTAAATATTTTCCAAAGTTTCTCTTCAGAACGAAAAAATTAAGTCCAAAAATTATCTCAAGCCTAAAATATCCAGCAATTCCAAAAACCTGTAAAGCTTTTTGTTGTTTGGCTTTAAAAAATAGTGGCCTAAAGCTTACAGTTTTCATGCATATATTGTATTTGCTCCTGCTGAATATTGAAAAAACATTACAGGCTATCATGTGTGGAACATATTCGCTATTCTTATTTCCTTCACTTTACAAATGAGGAAGATACTCAAAGAAGTTAAGTGGCTTGCCAAGATTTGTACTTAGGTTTTCTGAGTGCAAACGCTGTGTTCTTTTCAATGTACTTTGTCCCAGTGTTTAGTTATCTCTGTCATTTCTGTCATGTGACTCTGCATCCTAGGGGAATTCTCAAATTTTAAAGAGCGTTCAGCTACTACCAAAAGAAAATAACTTTTGTATTCAATGGACCTGAAGGTAATTCTAGTCCTATCTGGTTTCTATCACTGCATTTTTTTTCCCCAGCTAATTCTTGGTTCACTTGGAAGTGTTAGTATTGCCTCACAAAGTCTTCCTTAAGCACTGTCAGAATTTGTGCTTCAATTATCTGCTCATGTTTTAGTGGATTACTTATCTTGCTTCTGCTTCTCACCTGGGCAACGTTCCCATCACAGCTCTTACTCTGTAAGCAAGAAAGGATAATATGCTCCTGGGCTTAAAGTAGGGAAAAACACTAACATAGTTGGTACAAGCCAGAATGCAAATATTTCACATTGAGATGAACACAAGAAGCCAGCTGGGAAAACATTGCTATTTACAGATTTAGATTAGCCCAGAATTCATTTCAGCCTTTGAGGTAAAAGGTGGCATTTAAAAATCACTGGCATTTAAAACACACACTCTTAACACTTTGGAGAGATATAGACCCCTTTGTGAATTTGTCAAAAAATTATGGATGAAGCTGGGTGTGGCAATGCGTGCCTCTAGTCCCAGCTACTTGGTAGGCTGAGGCTGTAGATTCACTTGAGCCCAGGAGTTTGAGGCCGCTGTGTAGTATGGCTGTGCCTGTGAATAGCCACTGCACTCCAGCCTGAGCAAGAGAGCAAGACCCATCTTTTAAAAGGAGAAAAAAAGTATGGACATTTTCCCTAGAAAAAAGCACAATCACACATACCTGGAATACAGTCTGGGGGCTCCATTATGTGGTTGTCCATGGGTCCAACATAAAATACTGGAATACAGTCTGGGGGCTCCATTATGTGGTTGTTCATGGGTCCAACATAAAATATTCTTGAGTTAGAGTGTGTCATGAGTACGGTCCCAAAGTGATGAACAACCCATATGCCACTTAAAGGCCAATATTTATTATGGCCAGCTTTCTAATTTCCTTAGTAGTAGCAGCAATAAATGATGTGGATCTTTTATAACAAAAGTAACATATGGTTGTAAAGATTTTTTTTAATTTCAGAAATGCAATGTTTTCCGTAATTATAATCCTCAAACAGTTAACAGAAAAATATCTCCATATATATTTATAGATATAGGTATTTTTAAACAGAAATCAGATCATACTATATGGCAACTTGATTCTGTTGCTAGATCATATATATTGGTTTACCAGAGTTTAATCATTCTGTTAGCATGGACATTTATTTTGTTTTTGATTTTATAACTATCAACAATAAGGCAATGAATATCCTTGATCACATATCTGGTCATGTATATAAATATATGTAGGATAAATTTCTGAAGTAGAATAAATTAAAGGATACAAACATAAATTGTGAAAGACATTGAAATTGTACTTCCAAATGGAATAAACTAACCTATGATCTTTCTATTACTTACAGAAACTTTTTATTATATTTTATGTAGTAAAATGTACAAATTATTTTAAGTTTTTGGTTTTTATCACGTGTAGAAACAAGACTCAAATGCTCTAAATAAATTCACTCATACCTCCTTCTAGTATGTTATGACTCAGATTTTTATATGGAAATCTAAATGTTATTAAACAGAAAAGAGCTTAAGGGTAGATCCTAGAACATACAGGAATTTGAATATGATACAGAGAGGATTTCGTTTCTGTGGGGGGAAAGCTGAATTATTAGGTAAAGATGTGGGGACAAAGGGGTCGCTGCTGCTACCACCAAAATAAATTCCATATGGATGAAAGAATAAAATGTGAAAAACAAAGCCATAAAAATTTTAAAAGAAAATATGGGAGAATATTTTTGGTAACAGAAAAAAAAATGGCTTTTAAGCAGAGAAAAATATCCTCAAATAGAATAGAAAATTATAACTGTAATGAGATATCATTTTACATCTATTAGACTGGGAAAGATAAAAACAGTTTGATAATGCTGTATTGGTGAAGATGTGGGGAAACACAGTATGCTATCAAACTTTCCGTCTTTGTTAGGATGACTGGAACTTGTACCACTTATCTGGAAGGCAGCCCGGTTTTGTCTATCAAAATGTAAAATGTGAGCGGGCACAATGGTCCAACGCCTGTAATCCCAGCACTTTCGGAGGCCGAGGCGGGTGGATCACCTGAGGTCAGGAGTTGGAGACCAGCCTGGCCAACATGGTGAAACCCCATCTCTACTAAAAATACAAAAATTAGCCGGGCGTGGTGGCTTGTGCCTGTAATCCCAGCTATTCGGGAGGCTGAGGCAGGAGAATCGCTTGAACCCAGGAGGCGGAGGTTGTAGTGAGACGAGATTGCGCCATTGCACTCCAGCCAGTGTGACAAGAGCAAAACTCCGTCTCAAAAAAAAAAAAAGTAAAGTAAAATGTTCTTTAATCTAGCAATTTTACTTCTAGAAGCTAAACCTACAGATGTACACCACATGTAAGCCAGAATCGTTTACAAAGAGATATATTTCAACTTGAAACCCCGTCTCTACTAAAAATACAAAAAATTAGCTGGGCATGGTGGCAGGCGCCTATAGTCCCAGCTACTCGGGAGGCTGAGGCAGGAGAATGGCGTGAACCCGGCAGGCAGAGCTTGCAGTGAGCCGAGATCGCGCCACTGCACTCCAGCCTGGGCTACAGAGCAAGACTCCATCTTAAAAAAAAAAAAAAAAGGGAATAGCAAAGACTTGGAAATAACGTATATGCTCATTGAAAAGTGAGGAGTTAAATAAATTATGCTACATCTAAGCAAGAGAATACTACACAGCCTTTCAAAAGAACTAGGCTCATCTAAAGCATCTGATAACAGAAATAAAATACATATTATGAAGTTAAAAAATCAATATACTAGATGAGTAATATCCTTTGGAAAAGGATATTTAGGTGTGTGTGTCTGAAAAGATACACAAGAAATAACTAGGTTTCTCAACACCGTAACCTGAATGATACACATCATCCCGCCCTTTGCCTGTACCTAGTTGACTGCTTGAGCCTGCTGCTAATCATTCTAATTTATACTTTATTTTAATATTTTTTATGTAACTCCCACTCATTTATTTTCTTTTTAAGACTCTTCTTATTTTTGAATGGCACTCTTCCAAATGAATTTTTAAATCATTTTATCAAATTCCTAAAAGTATCCTGTTGGACATTTGATTAGAATTATACTGGATAGGCTGGGTGTGGTGGGTCACACCTGTAATCCCAGCAATTTGGGAGGCCAAGGAGGGAGGATTGCTTGAGCCCAGGAGTTTGAGACTAATCTGGGCAACATAGCAAGACCCCTCTCTACAAAACTTTTTTAAAAAATTAGCTGGGCATGGTGGTGTGCACCTGTAGTCCTAGCTACTTGGGAGGCTGAGGCAGGAGGATAGCTTGAGCATAGGAGGTTGAGGCTGCAGTGAGCTGTGACCACACTACTACACTCCAGCCTGGGTAACAGAGCAAGACCGTGTCTCAAAAAAAAACAACAATAAAAAACCCAAAAAATTATACTGGATATATAACTTACTTTTAAAAGATAATTATACATTCTTTCAACCTTGGTATTTAATTTAAAAGAAGATTGCTTTTTTATTTCAAACATTGTTATTTCTCATAAGTCTGTCATGATTCTAAAATTTTTTTTAGAGAAGGGATCTTGCTGTGTTGCCCAAGCTAGCATGCAGTGGCTAATCATAGGCACAATCATAGTCCACTACAAATTATATCATTTTTAAAGTATGTCTTATAACTTTTGTTTATATTTTACATTATGTATGTATTTATTTTTTTTAAATAAAGATGGGGTCTTGCTATGTTACCCAGGCTGGTCTTGAATTCCCAGGCTCAAACAGCCCTCCTGCCTTGGCCTTCTAAAGTGCTAGGATTACAGGCGTGAGCCACCATGCCCAGCCAGTTTTATAAATTTATTTTAGTGTTTATTTTTAGCTACTTAAATTTCTGTGGCTACTGTAAGTGGGATGGATTCTTTTTATATTGTATTTTCAAATTGGTTATGATAATACATGAGAAAGCTCTTGATTTTCATATGTTTTTTTATTATTATTATTATTGTTATTTTTGAGACAGGATCTCACTCTGTTGCCCAGGCTGTAGTGCAGTGGTGGGATCATGGCTCACTTCAGCCTCGACATCCTGGCCTCAAGCAATCCTCCCACCTCAGCCTCCAGAGTACCTGGGACTACAGGTGCATCCCACCATGCTTGGCTAACTTTTTTATTGTTTGTAGAGAAAGGGTTTCACCATGTTGCCCAGACTGGTATTGAACTCCTGGACTCAAGTGATCTGTCCACTTCAGCCTCCCAGAGTGTTGGCATTACAGGCATAAGCCACTGTGCCCCACCCCCCGTATGTTAATTTTATAACTAGTTATCTTAATTTATCTTTTATTGCCTCTAAAAGCTTTTCAGTTGATGCTTTGGAGTTTTCATATTATTTGCAAACAAATGACAACCCTGACTTATTTACAGTACTTAATTTCTTATTTCTATTTTATATCTAATTGCATTGGCTATCGTTTCTATTGTTACAATGTGATGGTGAACATTCTTGCCTTGTACTTGACTTCAATAGGAATAATTATGATGTTATGTTATAAAGGAAGTGGCTGGCTTTAGTATAACATATATATATATTTAAATTATTACAAATTCTAATTTTTATTGGGAATGATGCTGGACTTTACAAAATCCTTTTCAGCATCAACTGAGATCCTCATAATGTTTTCCTCCTTTGACTTACTAATATAATCAAGCATATGAGAAAATTTTCTGTTATTGAACTATTGCCATAACTATACACATGAAATAATTTCTCTTAATTTTGTTATATTATTTGTAATGTAGTGCTGGGTTCCATTTGTTAGTATTGACTTTTACATTATATCCAAAAGGAATTTAACCTGTAGATTTCCCTTGTGTGTACTTTTTAACAGATTGTATTTTAAAACCAGTCTTTCAGCTCATCCAAAACAGAGGGATTACTGGTGAAAATGCCTTGAGGGCAACCACCTGAAATGGCCTTAATAAAAAAAAAAACACGAAGAAGAAAAAGAAAAGGAAAAAAGCTAACAACACTGTGGTTTGTCTACTTTTGCGGAAATTTACAACACTATACTTGCTATACCTTCTTTCTGATGTGAATCCACAAGCTATTGCAGCCATTAATTAAGGATATTGCTTTTCTTTCCAATAAATACATGAACTTTCTTTCAGAGGCAAACAGAGACAGATGTTTCATGAAAGTTTCTGTTCTTCCCAACCTGCCTTTCCTACCTCCCTGATAGATGATCCAGAACATTTAAAAATGGGGGAAGAACTGAGAAAAGGGCTCCAATCATCCACTTGTGTTTCCCATCCAAGGAGCCTGGCCTGTTATTTACTTTCACCACTTATCCCTGCTGCTGCTGTTTAGTTTTTGTTGTTCCCCTCAACTGACTTTCCTCATCTTTGCTGCATTCATCAAAGCCCAGTGTAAATTCCCCTCTTCCATAAACTGAGGAATCCAGCCCATTTTACATAGCAAACTTTCTCTTAGCTGCTACCTACTCAAAGTTTGGCTGCACATTTTAGCTATAATTGTTCTCAAATTGTTTCAAGAGTGCTAGTTTTCTTTCTTAGGCTCCAGGTTAGCTCCTTGGGAGCGGGGACTTAGCTTAAAATCCTGCTGTGTATTTTCCGTTGTGTTTAGCCCTATGAGTAATCACATTCAATGCATACTTGTAAGGCATATTTGACTGAAGATATCTATCATAGTTATTCATTTAGTAAATGATATAATGAAAACTCAAGTGCTCGCCAAAGATAAATCATTACTATTAATTCCCTCATTCATCATACATGTATGGCAGCCTCAGGGGCTAGGGAACCTAGGATTGCTGCTTTGACTTTTTTTGGGGAAGCCAAATAAGCCTCAGATCTCTCCACTTTGGAGCCAGCCATGAAATTCAGATTTACCTAGGGCTCAACATTAAGGGTCTCAGACTAAATTTATCTTCAGGTACCCTTTCCAGAGTGGACCAGTTTACCTTATACCTCTGAGAATAACCCAAAACTTTCAAAACTCAAATCACAGGATATTATTTGTTCATGAATTCAGCAAGACTCTCTTGTTTAACTATTGAAACTCAAATATTTCGGCTTGCAGCAAGGAGGGGTACAGCTGTCTGGATATACCTTGGCCAAATTTCAGTGTATATAGAAAAGTGGGAGGTTATCGACTATGTTAAACCTTTTCCTTAAATTTTCAAACTTCGGGATTATTTTAGTCTCATAGATAAAATAACAAGGCAAGTATTTACAAACTTTTTTCAAAAATATGAGAATTTCAGTTTTCCCTAGGGCATTTGGCGTTGTGCTGTCACCACACTTTTGAAGATAGCTTTACAACCGTGGGAAAACTCACCGGGCTTTTTTCGTTGACCCCGCCATTTCTAAGTTGCTATATTGCTGCAAGGAGCTGGCAAAGCCATGCTCTTCCTCTCCCCCATTCTCCTCTTCCTTTCAAAGACCAAAGCGCCCCGTGAGAATATAGAAACAAGGCTGAGAGGCAGCGAAGAGTAAGGGAGGAGCCAGCACTTACGCATTTTTCACTCTCCTCCTCACTCCCTAGGGTCATAGTTTTGATTCTGAAGTTAGAAGTGTGGGGGTCGTCGGCTGCATTTTCAACTTGGCCTAAAAGTTGGAGTTCACCACACTGCAGGCGCTAGGAACTCTGCCGCTCGGTCACCAACCTGAGCCTCTGGCTAGTCCGAAGAACGCGAAAAGCCAGGCCCAAGGCACTGGTTGTCATGGCAACCGGGGCGCTGGTCTCCCTGGCGACCTCGTCCCTAGGGAGGAGGTGGAGCTGGATGCCAGGCGGGCCAATGAGGTCGAGGGGAGCTCGGGGTGGGAGATCTGCGGTCCTCCCAGTGCCGGGGAATGGTTGAGTGACAGGACCGGGGGGGCGGAGCCGGCGCGGCTGCCCGAGGTGGAGCCCCAGTGGTGCGAGTAGCTCCAGCGGCCACGCTGAGGCGAGGGTGACACACCATGCTCACGGCCCCTGGAGACCGTCGTGCTGGCGAGCCGTGCTCCGTAGCTCCCCGGTCCGCCTCGGCAGCGGTCAGAGTCGCCTACAGGAGTTGAGCCGCCCGCGCCAGAAGGTTTTGGCGAAGCTCTTGGAGAGGCGTCGAGCACAGTAGGGCGGCGGGGGTGCGTTGAGCGCTCGGGGGTCAGGCAGTCGGCCGGGATCGCCGCTGGGGAGCGTTTCCGAGGCGAGGAGGAGGAGGAGGAGATGCTGCTCCTCTTCTCCCCCTCCCCAGGCTCCTTCTACAGCTCCTTCAGCCCACGCCCGCAGCCGCTTGTGGGAGAAGTGGTGGTGGCTCTCGGCGCCCGCGGCGGCTGCCGGCGGCCCGCCCCGACGCCGCGTCCCTGCAGCCCTCGCCCGGCGCTCCAGTAGCAGGACCCGGTCTCGGGACCAGCCGGTAAGGACGAGAGCCGCCCTGGGCTCTGCGCTGCATGTGCAGAAGTGCAAAACAAAGTACATTGCGCTCGTTCTCTTCCTCCTCTCTCTGCTTTCGCTCCAGTCCCTAAACCCAACTCCTCGGTTGCCCTGGTAGAAGGAACTTTTCTTTGGTTTTGGTGGTGGGTGTTTTTGTACGTTAGAGTGGGGGTGGGGTGACTGGAGTGGGGAAGAATGAGATGAAACTCCATTGCTAATTAGGTAGATCCATCTCCTCTGCGGAAGAAAGCCGGATTCTCGGGAATGAAACCCACAGGGGGAGTAAGAGATTGTGGGGTAATAGGGAGTGACATTGCCCCGTCGTGCTTGCACAGCTCCGCTCTGTGCGTGCTTAAGGGAAGGGCTCCCGGAGTCTGTTTCTAATTTCTGCAAATGATTGTGGAGATGGTGTGGTTAGAGGCCGCCCAGAAGAATGTGTGTGTAAGGGCTCGAGAAGGGGGTGGGATGGCGGGGAAGCAGAGGAAGAGGGGGCAGAGGGAGAGACACTGTCTGATGCAAGGTCTTTTATTGCTTTTCTTCTGCTTGCTAAAGTTAACACTCTACCCTCCGGCCCCCTAGCCCCACCGCTTTGCTCATTACGTGATACTGTAAGAGCAGACAGCTGGGAAGCTAAAGTTAAACCAAAGTCAAGAAAATTCTTACAAAGTTTAATTTCCTTCTGTTGTGAATATAATGGAGAGAGGAGGATGGGGAGAAATATCACTAAGAGATTTACAGCAATACAGTTTTCATTGGCCATACACGTATATGATCGACACCACCGCACACTTCCAACTAATCTGTTCGACAGCCTTGTGTCATTTTCATTTAATTGCATCTTTGAAACAACAAACGCGGTGACTTCATAGGGAGCTGCCTGGAGCTGAGCTCCCTCGCAGAAAATGGGGCAATCGGGTTTGTTTTCAAGGCAGGACCTGAACAAAATGTAGGACACCTGATCTGTGGGATGAAGGGCGCTGGTAACTAATTATAAATTTTAAGATTTTAAAATTTATATCTAGAAAGTTTACTAAAGGATGGGGGGGGGAGTAAAAGTGCATGTATTATGAAACAAGCTTAGGTATTTTCCTAAAGTCTTCATGACTGTGTTGGCAGGGTCCAGGTGAAAACTTGCTTCATGCTCATTGGCTGCTTGTAGTGGTGCCAATATACAAATTATTTCTCGTTTTAATATCACTAGGAGCATTTGTTAGTAAATTCATACATATATTGATTTAGTAAATTTATACAGAGGCGCACTGACTGACGTCCAATCTTGTTTATTATACTTTGTTCATAACATTGTGTTCTACTTGATGTTCTAGAGGCTTTGTGGGAGTATGTGTGGGGAGAGGATAGGATGGAAATTAGAACTAAAAACAGAAAAATATTTGAGGTTAGTTGTTAAGAAAAGGACTGATTTCATAGTGTTTTTCACTTTTACAATTAGAGA
Source organism: Homo sapiens (assembly GCF_000001405.40). NCBI lineage: Eukaryota > Metazoa > Chordata > Mammalia > Primates > Hominidae > Homo > Homo sapiens. The sequence goes on from NC_000004.12 coordinate 86,596,260, forward strand.
ATGATAGCTTGCTTTACCATTATGTAGGTTTATCTTTGAATTTGCATTTGTCCCACCATTTTTACTTGCATGTAAAGCCTAGTTATATTTTGGAGGGTGATTACCAGCATCCAAAAATATAAATGGCTTTTCATGTCACAAGTAACATACACGCACACCATTAAAACCAGTGTCAATTTAAAAGTCAGATTTTAATTCTATGATGGGGTCACGTTATAAAACTTAGGTCATCTTTTTGTTGTTGTTTTTGAGGGCTGCCTCCTAAATACGGTATGTGAATGTGAGAATTAGCTAATCATTTGTTTTGGAGTAGATAATATAAATGATAGGTGTTCATCTTTAAATGAATGAAATTTATGTATTCTTTGTTATTGAGAAAAACGGGTGTTGATTTGTTCTGTCTTTAATGTGTTAAGGATTGGATGGGGAAGTGTTGTAGCTTCTCCCGTATCAATGGGGTGTATATTTTTCCAGCTCATCTTAGTGCCCAGCCCCAAATGTACTGGAGAGAAGGACTGTAAGGGATAAACTATTACTTCTTTTTTTTCCTCTTCACCCTCTTCTTTTGACAGAGGGTGTAATTTTTAAATAAACCCCAAAACATTTTTATGCATAATTAAATTATAATTAACACCATTTGAAATGAAAAAGAAACACAACCATACTCCAAGCCAGTGCATTTAGTAGTTACTCCTGTCAACATATTCTTGTTTTGGAATATGCTTTGGGAGAACTCTGTGTAGTTCAAAGTATTCTCCTGTTTGCCTCTGATGCAACCAAGTACGACTCATTTGAGTTAATATCACTTTACAAGGTAGGGGCCTGAGAAAGGAGAAAAGATAATGGGCCTTAGGATAGAAGAATCAGTGCTGATGGAAATGACGAGAATCTTTTGGGCTGGGCTTCCTTTTTTTTTTTTTTCCCTGAAAAACTCTCTTTTAATTTGAAAATTAAAATGGGTCAAATAACTTAGGAACTAAATGTTTTAAAGATAGCTTTTAAGATAGGGTCTCTGTTGCCCAGTTTGGAATGCAGTGGCTCGATCATGGCTCACTGCTGCCTCAACTTACCAGGCTCAAGCAATCCTCCTAACTCAGCCCCCAAAGTAGCAGGTACCACAGGTGTACAACACCACACCTAGCTAATTTTGTTTATTTTATTTTTTTAAATAGAGACAATGTCTCGCTGTATTGACCAAGGCTAAAAGATAGCTTTTAATGAGTACATTAATGTAGGACTTTTAATGGCTTAAGTTAAAGTTGAAAGTTTCATACTAGCTGTAAATGTCCCATCAAAACTCCCGTCTGTAAACTGCTTTGGGAGGTGGAGTTCTAATAATCCTTTGAGTTTGGGAAGAAAATGAAAACACCTTTAAGACCCTTATTCTTGTTTAGTGTCAGGCACTGTGAATAAGCACCCTGCTCTATCCTGCCCAACCCTGTTCCCAAGAATGTGTGACTGTCACTAATAGTAAGGCAGTAGGTGGGCCATTTCTTAGGATAAAAAGAGAAGAATTCCTAAATAATCTTGTATAGAGGCTGGTGTAGATTTAAACCATAAACTTCACATGTTTTTCCCAGAGTTTGCTATCAAATGCATGGGAAATACAGGAACAGGGTCTGGTTCAAGTGCTTGTTTAGATGTGTTTGCCTTATCCTGTGCTCTGCCATTGAATCCTGCTTTTTTAATTTTTGTTTTGTTTTGATTTGTTTTCACACTGGAAAAGTATGAAAATTCTCTGAAACAAACTGTCTCAAAGAAAATCCTTCTGCATAGTATAAAAAGTGTGGAGGACTGCTGTCTGACAAATATGTATCCAAATCCTAGAGACTAAGTTTATTTTTAATAATTTAATAATATATACTTCTCAAGGCTTTTTTGCTTTGTTGTGCTTTTTTTTTTTTTAAGATGGAATCTCGCCCAGGCTGGAATACAGTGGCACAATCTTGTCTCACTGCAACCTCTGCCCCCGATCCTGGGTTCAAGCAATTCTCCTGCCTCAGCCTCCTTAGTAAGCTGGGATTACAGGCGTGTGCTACCACACCTGGCTAATTTCTATATTTTTAGTAGAGACGAGGTTTTGCCATGTTGGCCAGTCTGGTCTTGAACTCCTGACCTCAAGCGATCGGCCTGCCTCAGCCTCCCAAAGTGCTGGGATTACAGGCGTGAGCCACCGTGCCTGGTCCCTCTCAAGGTATTTTGAGGATGAAATTAATATGTGCAAATGTGGTTTAAGTGCAAGCTGACAGTATTTAGTTTGCTTCCTTCCTTGCCAATTTTCTTTAAAAAATTAAATAATCACAAAAACCTATAACTACTCAAATCATTCTTGAATGTGTAACTTGAATCTGGCTGGTGAAAAGGCCCTCTTTACCTACTAGCCAATAAATGTCTTTTGTTGCATACTTCATCTGTGCTTAATAAACAGTTTCTTTTTTTTCCTCCTAGTTTAGTAGTATTCAACTCTGCCTGTACCTTAGAATCACCTGGATAGCTTTTTTAAGTTTTTTAATTTTTTTTTAAGAGACAAGATCTCACTCTGTCACCCAGGCTAGAATACAGTGGTGTGATCATAGCTCACTGCAACTTTAAATTGCTGGGCTCAAGTGATCCCTCCGCCTCAGCATCCTGAATAACTGATACTGCAGGTGCGCGCTATCCAGCTAATTTTTTATTTTTTGTAGAGATAATGGTCTTCCTATGTTACCCAGCCTGGTCTTAAACTCCCTGGCCTAAAGCAGTTGTCCCTCCTTGGCCTCCCAAAGCACGGGGATTACAGATGTGAGCCACTGCACCTGGTCTGGATAGCTTTTAATAATCTCCATGCCCCGGCCTCAACTCAGACTATTAAACCAGAATCATTGTGGATGAGACCCTGGCATCTGTATTTTTAGAAACTCCTTAAGAAACCATAGTCAACTTTGGAACCAATGTTCTAGACTCTACTAGAATAGAGTGTAGAAAATTTGGTTCCCATAAATGCAGCAACATTTTTTGTGTTGGATTATATTTTATATTTATGTATTTTTTCTATATAAATCTTAAGAATTTAAAACACAAAAATGTCTCAGAAGCATCTATGTATATGCCTATCTACAGGCCTTTTTACTATTTGGATGAGAATTTAAGGTACAAATATTTCCCTAGAGCTGTACTGTCAAATGTAGTTTCCCTGGCCATATATGGTATGTAAATTTATATTTTAATTAATTAAAATTAGATACAATTTAAAATTCTGCTTATTACAACTAGCCATATTTTAAGTGCTCAGGAGCCACTTGCAGCTACTAGCTACTGTAGCAAACAGCTCAGATATAGAACATTTCCTCATCACAGAAAGTCCTGTACTGCTTAGAGGTTTTGAAATTTGTGTATGTTTCTTATCATCTGAAATGGCATATATATAATTCCTGTTATTTCCTTCAGATTTATAATTTAAAAATATATTGTGTTATTTTTTAAAGTTACTTTTTTTAAAGTCAGGAGAAATACCACATTTTTTATACATTTCCTCTTTCCTCAGTCTTTTGTACCTAGTTAAAGGTTTTTCTTTTCAAAGTTAACTGAGAAGAGGAAATTTAGTGTCCTTGTTTTTATTACTTATATCAGTATGCTCTAAACCTAACTAATGGCTTAATTGCCCTTGTGTACTGCAAGTTTCAGGTCTGGAAATGTGATGTCCCAAAATACTGAAAATAGTCATCATTTCAACACAAATGTTAGGATTTGATTAAAAGTTTTCCTTTTTGCTAAAGATCCTTTTTCTTTTGCATACAGAAATTCTGAGTTATCAAATGATGTGATTGAGCTTTCAACAGAAAACTGTTTTATTAGTTTTAACATGAGCATAAAGGTGTGAGAGAAAATTTTTTTCTTATAGGGGAAGGCATTTCCTTGAAAAAAATGAGATTCCTAAAGAATTCCCAATGTTTGGAAGCTAAGACTGTGTCATCAAACTTAATGGTATTTGCCACTTGGTAACTACTGATGCACAGCTTACAAGAAACTGCTGTGTGGTTCATCCTATACCCCCTCCTTACACACCTAGAAAAGATGTTTCCTAATCAAAGTTTTATTGGTTTAGTATGCTCTGAGTAGAGTAGGAACAATAATTAATTTCAATTAAAAATATTCCTTCTTGGTAGATGGTATTTTTTTTTTTTACATAACCACTTTTTTTTTTTTTTTTTTTTTTTTTTACCTATTCTGATCAGGTAGATTTGCCTACAGAACACTGGGAGTTATATTGTTGAAAGAATGCTTGATGGAATGTTTTGTGTACGATATCAGTTTCATGTTTTAATGCTTCCCCACTTAGTTGTAATAGAGTCTGTGGAACAAAAATGAAACATTCTTGTTGAACTTAAGGTTAGAATGATTATATAACCTGAGATTGTGTTAAAGATATTCAAAGTTGTGTTCTGTTTTGTTTTTTGAGGAAAGATACAGCCTGGGAATTTTAAAAACTTCTTTTAGCACTATTTAAGTATTTTTGCTTCTTCTAAAAAAGTGTAATTTTAAAAATAAACATTTAAATTATTTAGGGGATGATTATTTTAGGTCTTAGTGTAGTTAAATATTTCTTCTGGAACATATAATGTAATTCAGTTTTTGAAGCAAAAATAATTAGTATTTTAGAACAGAAGTTTCAGTTTTTAATGATAAATTCCCTTGTCAGTGTCTTTTATATTTCTGACTTTAGCTGAGATGTAATTTCATGAAATTATTTGAACACCATATTGATTAAATTCATTCTTTACACAATCTGTTCTAATTTTATTTTGATGCTGATTTCTCTGCCTGGTTCAAGGAATGAGCTTAAAGCAATGTATAACATATGTGAATTTTCTAGTACTCTATGAAAATTTACCAAGACTGAAATGTATTTTTGTAGCTGTACTTCATGAAAGCTGGGACAGGTGGTTTAAAACAAAAACCTAAAAATTAAATAAAAAATCACTATGATAATATAATAGAAACTTTAGTTTGGGAATGTTCGGTTATCAAATCTACACCAGATAAAACTATTGTAGCTATACCATTTACTTGAGTTCCATTGGAGCTTAAATTCTGGCACTGCCTTAAGTAGTATAGAAATGAAAAACAGGATATGTGTTATTACATAGTACCCAGAGATACTGTAACTTCAGTTATAATTTAACATATTCCCCTATGTTCACAGTTTGTGGCATATAATTCTTAGAGTTACAGTGAAAAATTTAGAATATATTATTCTCTAATATTAAAACTTAATATTTAATAGAAATTTCCTTCAATTTTTGAACAAAAGAAAATATTTTAATATGGTTACATAATATATCACACTGATTGTGTGAAGACCAAATTGAGCTCTGTTTTTAAGGTAAGATTTCACCTGAATCTTTTTCAGGTTTATGTTAGTACATCAAACTTTCTAACTTCAAAGGGATTTTAAGATTGTATTGAGATACTAACATTCAATTGAAAAAATGAATACTGCTGTTCTTCCACCGCGGGGATACTTAAGAATCACTGTCTGTGAGCCACAATGTTTGAGGATTTTTCTAGATGAATCTGTAATGATAAATCTGGGCTTATCCAACATTTGTATACCTAGTTCCCTTTTTAATTGTTCCTTATTCATTGATTCCTATTCTTTGCCAGACACTCTACTAGGCACTGGTGGTGCATAGAGAAGACACATTTCCAAGACAGGCAACTTAGGGGAATAGTCTGAGGCCACATAGCTTTAATCATCTGAGTTCATGCTGAATAAATCAATCTATTGGCAGGATGTATTGTACAGAGTGGCTGTGAAGATAATATTAAATAACATGTAAATTGCCTTGTAAAACTTAGCAAACATGTGGGTACCTATCTGAATATATATACAGGTGATTTGTTTTTAGATGTTGCTGTGCATGGTGTTGACCACTCCTGTTTGATTTAGAGAAACAGTATAGTATGGTATTTAAAGCATAGACTAGGAGCCAGAATGCCTGGGTTTTGATCTGACTCTATGGTTTACAAGCTCTGTGACCTTGCCCAAGTTACTTAACCTTGCTGTACTTTATTTTCCTCATCTTCAAAATGAGGATGATAACCAAGCCTACTTTATGGGATTGTTGTGAGAACCAAATGAGTTAATACATGAAAAGCACTTAGAATAGTGCTTAATACATACTATGTGTTTAATAAATATTAGCTATTATTATTTTTAGTATACTTATATTTGATTTATAACAGTTTTTTTAACACGGTACAGGTAATATATGAACTTAAATATGGTTTCTTGTTTCAAAGTTTATAGGCCTACTTTGTTCCTTGGGCCACATGTTCCTTCCAGTCATCGCTTGGGCTTGTTGATACATGTGATGTGTGCCAGATTTTTACACACTTACTAGAACTTGTGAAATGAATGTCATCCTTTTCAAACTACTATAATTATTTTTCTGATTTTTTTTTTTTTTTTGAGACAAGGTCTCAGTCACTCAGGCTGGAGTGTAGTGACCCAATCACAGGTTACTGCAGCACTTCAACCTCCCATGCTCAACTGATCCTCCTACTTCAGCCCCGCAAAGCACTTGGATTACAGGCACCTGCTGCCACACACACCTGGCTAATTTTATTTGTATTTATTTGTAGAAATGGGGTCTCCTTATGTTGCGCAGGCTGGTCTCAAACTACTGGACTCAAGCGATCCTCCTGCCTCAGCCTCTTAAGGTGTTGGGATTACAGGATGAGCTGCCATGCCTGGCCTCAAACTACTCATGTTTAGAACACTGTATTTCCTGTTTAGGAATCACTTTTAGGACATATGGCATATTGTTTTAAACATCCTTTTTGGTGGTATATCTCTTCTTTGAGAGTAGGTTTGATTTAATTAAATAATATATTTTTTCATGTTTTAGAAAGGTGAGTGATAAGAAGTATAATTTGAATTAAAATGAAAAATGGAGTATAAAGTAAAATGAATATTTTAAAAATATCTAAACATAATTAGAAAAGAAGATTCCAAAAATATTTTTGATAACTTGTCCTTGTTTACCCTTCTGAAGTGTCTATTTAGAAAGGTGACACTGTCAGATATATAAATTGTAGTTTGTTAAAATGTACATGTTCACAGTCTCACACAGAATTATTACTTAATATTTGTGAATCTTATGTTGCTATGCTTCTGAGGCTAAGTACTGTGTAATATAACCTAAAATTCTTTAGAAAGTGTTTGTGGTCACATTTCCTAGCTGATATTGTGCATGCTTTTAATAGCTTTTCTGTTAAAAATTATTTGGTATTTCTCACAGAACTTTAAATATGCTCTAATGTATGTTATGAATTCCAAAGATGATATGGTATGTATAATTTTTCATTTATTAACTACAGAATTCATAACACATCTCTTAGCATCTCTTATACCCAGTTCCCTTTTTTAACTATATAAAATGAGTCATTACATTATATGTTTTACATGTCATTTTGTCTTCACAGCTATTCTCTGCAATATATCCTGCCAATAAATTGATTTATTCAGCATGAACTCAGATAATTAGCATCACTCAGATGATGCTAATAAAGTACCTCGACCTAGTGGATATTTAAGAAACTGGATTTACTCTTCAGGGAGACTAGTTCATGGCCATTAAGATCATTTGGTACTTTTGTGCTTTGCATTGTTTGACATTTAATTATTTGTAATAATATGATTAATTTATATAATTAAAAAATCAATATTTGACCCACTATTGAAATACTAAATTGAGTTATTGTTAACCTTTTAACAAGACAAAATTAATGTCTACTTATATTCATTCTTAAGTGTTTAGCTTTTGTGAAAACTGAATTCAGGTAGTGTTATGACTTGTTTATTCATGTTCAGACCTAAATTAGGAAGCACAGTATAATAGAAAGAGCAAACACATTGAATTTGGGTAGTCCTCGGTTTGAGTTTTAGCTCTTTTAGTAATTAGAATGACTTTGGATAAATTTAATCTATTTCTGATCTGTAAAATGCAAATAATAATATATATCTCAAAAGGTTTTGTAAGCTTTATTCCTGAATTATACACATATAAAATGATTGGGCATAGCCTACTGATTCTGTTTACAGGAATTGTTTACCTTTACTTCCCTCTTCAATTGTGTTACTGAGAGAAATAGTAACCTAATAAATCTGATTAATAATGCTGAGATAAAAGCATCTCTTTATCACTCAGATTTTAGCCTCTTTAGTTTACATTGGTTTGATTAGGCCACTGCTATTGCTTTGGTTATCAGATTGTTTTATATGTAAGATCTTTTTAGGTACAGTAGCTACATATAAGCTACTTTAAGACTAAAATGGTTGACATTTTAAAGGAAACAAAATAGGTAAATCCGCCATGTCCCCTTGAATATGTGAAAAATACAGAAATTGATAGAAAAAAATACCACAGCATTATTCGACCATTTAAAAAATAGCAACAATTAGAAATGTTTTATAAATACATTTATTTTTTTAATATCCTTTGTTTCTTGTGTAAACTAATTATACTACTGTAACATATTTGACCACTCTATGTTCAGAATTATTTTCCGTATTTTGAGAAATATTGAAAAATAAAAGTGGTTGCTACCAAAAAACTTAAAATCTTGCTTGAAACACACAGAGAAAAGACAGGAAGCCATTATATATTGTAAAATAATGATTAACTGCAATGAAAGCTTTAAGGAAGAAAGTGTGGTCTGATTTAATCAGGATTCACTTGGGGAGTAGAGTGTGAGCTGAGTCTTGAAGACATTAAATGTCTGTAGATGGGAATGGTATGTCATGGAGTAAAACAAAAGATAAGAGTAAGTGAATTCATGAGGGAAGTGTTTACAAAGAAATGCTGAAGATGACCTGTCAAAGTGAGAAAAGGATGAGGACAGAGAAGGGAGTGCCTAAGAAACTAGGAAAATGTTATGTTAAAGAAAGTGCCTTAGGAGAGTGGAGGGTAAAGGACCAATAGTTCCAGATGCCACAGGGAGCCAAAGAGAGAAGGCTAAAGAAAAGTAGAACATTGTGATCAGTTGAATATTGCAGGGATAGAAAGGAAATTGAAATGGGGGATGATATTTGGTTTCAAAACAGATGAAAGTTGGATGATCTGATCTATGAGGATTCATAGGGTCAGAACATTTTTCCTTTTTAAGATCAAAGGTGGTGAAAGAACAGATTGATTCTGTGAGATTAAGAGATTTAAAATGGCAGAGTGAGAAAGAATCATCTCCTTTTATGAGGATTGTCTGGATGGTAAAGAATGAGTCCTAGGTAGAGGTATTCATTTTAGTCAGGGGGAAACAACTTTTTCCTGTAAGATTGAAGGAAAGGCTACAAAGATAGATGTGGGCCTATTGATGAATAGAAATAAAAATAAGATTTTATAGATAATTTACACTTAATGATAGTATCTTCAGAAAGTGCTGTCATAGGAGGCAAGATTATCTCTTGGCATATAAAATCTAAAAATAAGATTTTATAGATAATTTACACTTAGTGATAGTATCTTCAGAAAGTGCTGTCATAGGAGGCAAGATTATCTCAGGCATTATTTGGGTAGTGGTGAAAATAAAGAGATATAGGTAAAGTTGGGAATCATTACTGTTGGGAAAGTAATGAGAGGTTGTTAAAGGATTTATAGAGGCTTTGTGAGTTTGAAGTTGAATAAGTTGAACAGTGATGGCCTCAGTCCACATTTGCAGAAAACGAAGAGTAAAGTGAAAGAAATTATTACAGTCTATAATGGTCAAGTAAAATATGGGGCTTGTAGTAATGAGGAAATCCCACTGAGGCTGGGAGGATTGGGTGAAATGGAAAGTGATTTTTTTAGTAGTTTCTAAATTTGCTCAATAAGCCAACTATTGATTGAATTAAAGATATTTATCATTTTCCTCTATCTGCCACTTTTTTAGAACAAGCGCCAACAAAGGATCTTGATCCTAAAACAAGTATATGATGTTTGTTTAATTGAATATGCTGTGTGGATTAGTTACTGCTTGGTTCACTTAATCTGGGATTGGGGCTGTATTTAAAATGAGCCACCTACACTATACACTTAGAAAAAAACTGTTTAAATCAAAATCTTACTCATTTTTTAATATTCTGCTATAGTAGTTGGTTTTATATTTGCCCCAGTGTGACTTTACTGTTAGTCTTTATGCTTATTTATTGTGATAATCACTAGGATTCATAATTTAAAATTAATTGTAAGTGCTTTCCACAAATTGTTTTGACTACTGTCTAAAGAAATAGAAATGAATGAATGAAATAATGAAAATAATTCTATTCTCCTCTTACAAATTAGCATTATACTTGGCAGGTATCTATTCCTAAAAAGTTTCTAAATGAATCGCATCTTTCCATCTGAAAATCAGATAAATGTTTTATTTGGCGTACCGTCAAGTGCAATGCAATTCAATAAATAGGTTTAGTATTTTACCCACTCAAGACTAGATTTTTTTCTTAATTCTTGAAATAACATAATGAAACTCCTTGACTCTACAAATACCTAGTTGATTGCATAAAGTCACCTAGTTGCTTGTTAAATAACAGCAAAATTCAGTATAGACCTCTAAAAGTACTATTTTAGCTAGCCATATCATCTGAAGGATTGTCATTGCCTTGATTAATAACTGTCCATAATGGTGGCCAGTACATTTTCTGCTGCTTTTTGTATTGCCACATAGTTCTAAGAAAAATAACTCAAGAGGAAATAATGTTATTCCAGCTGATAAATTAATCCTGGAGCACTTAGCATTCTTTTAAATTCATTAAACCTCTTAATCATATAAAATAAGACTTAAAAATTTGATTCTGTCTCAAGATAAAAATTATAATTGTATGTGCTATAAACAGCAAAATTCATGTTTATGATTCCTTTAAAACTGTTAATCTTTTTTTTAAAAAAAGTCTTTAAATACCCTTACTACCCTAATGAGGGATATCATAAAGATTTTTATATATCCATCTACATTTTACAACCTTTTTATACTACATGAAAATATTTTAAAAGATATCTATGATGTCTATAAATAGGATTCTATGCCATTATAATCTGTAGATTACACCATTAATATATACGTGTATGCTTATATTGTCTTTCACATCATCTAAATGAACACTGAAAATGACTCCAATGATAAGGTACTATTTGAATATTATTGTGTGCTAGGCACTCTTTTAAGAAATTGAGACGTAGTATATTATTTATCTTTACAGTCCTGTTGAGGTACACGCAATCCTGTGAAGTAAATGCTGTTATTCTTATTTTACAGATGAGAAAACTGAGGCTTAGAGAGGCTTAATGAGTGGTAGTGGAGTACACACTTGAATCCAAGCCTGTCCTACTCCAGTCAGCTATCATAACTGTAACTTCTCATATCAGTAGTGTCTTTTGACATGAGCAGTATTAAGGTGGGGCAAAAAATCGCCTCAATTTCCCTAGAAAAGATGAAAGAGACCTTGGCAGTCTAATTTGGCATCTAAATTCATGAGTTTTTTTATGAGCTTTTAAAACAGTTCTTGCAATGATATATTTTCCTTTTAGCTTTTCTTTTTTCAAGGTCTTCCTCTACTAACTTGTCACTTTTGGGCTTCACAGCGCCGAGTTCCTATAAAACTGTTGAGTAAAGTAAAGATAATGAAGTGCCCTTTTGAAAATCTTTTAACAATGTTTAGATGCTCATCACAGCATTATTTGTAGTAATATAAAATTGGAAACAAATAGCTTAGAAAAGAGGAATGATTTATTCTAAATCCTTACAATAGAATTTTGTGGTCATCAAAAATTAGATTGATAAGGAGCTTTTTGTAACATGGAAATATGTTAAATAGATAAAAGGTAAAACCTGGCAAATAAAGCATGATCATAACTATTGTTTTTGTGTTGCCTTATTTTTTAATAAAAACTTTCATTTAAAAAGGCCAGAAAAAAATAGTGAGGGACATTATAAAGATTTGTATAGGGAGAACCAACCTATTTTAGGAGTAGAGAGATTCGACTGTGAAGAATTCACTATGTATAGAATCTGGTTTGTTAAGTTGAGGAACAAATTATGATATTTTGCCCGAAGATTTTTTTCTTCTAAATATGGAGGAAGCTTACTGATTCTAATGCTTTATGTTATTCTAGCCAATTCTTGGAAGATTTACTTGAGGCTCTGTTGCTGCTTTACAAAGATGACTAGAAATGATAGTACATGCTTATAAAATTAGGCTGGGTTGCTGCTTTACAAAGATGATTAGGTAATTATAATGATAGTACATGCTTATAAAATATACTGTTTAATAAAAATTTAATTCCTCAAAATAACTTTATGGTAAATACTACTGTTATCTTCCTTTTTATAGATAATGGAAACTGAGGTGCACTTAGATTAATTAAAATCTGCCCAAATATAGATGGTAAGTGGGAGAGCCAGCATTTTGCATCTAGGCAATCTGGTTCCGAAGCCTGTGTGCCTAAACACTATGCACTAGGTATTTTAATAGTGAAAATCATTTATAACTTTTAGTTCAGAGTTGGAAATAATTATCTTATTAAGGTATGGCCATTGAGAATAGTTTATGACCAAGTCTTCATTACATACTTAGTACGTTTAAAAATCATCCTTTGGTTTGGTTGATGGCAGTTATTTACAGAGCCCCAAACTGTTGTTGACTGCTAACAAAGTTTCTTTTCTTCTCCTTTGAATTGACTCTTTCAGTAGGGCTGGATGCTTTGTATGTGGTGATGTAAAAAGTGTCTGAGGAGAACTACAAAAGTTTCTAAATTTTAGTTTATCACATGGTTTTAGAATTCATTCACAATTGGTTGCCATTTGCTCTTAGTTGGAGAAGTGGACTTTGTAGCTTAGAGTTCTTTGAGACATAAAATTGAAATCACTATTAATCCTTTCCCTCAACTGGCTGTCTTCACATCTATTTTTTTCTTACGAGTCATGTACTGTTATCCCTATGAAAATAGTTTAGATGATCATGTAATTCTTTTATTAAGTAAACAGTTTTGTTATCCTCTGAAGAGGATGAGTTATGCAGACTTTAGTTATAGCAGATAAAGTTTATTATTAAGTATCTTATTTTATAGAATAGGTAAAACTTGTATTTATATAAGGTTGAAAATGTACAAAGATTGAAAAGTAAGTCATCTTTGTTTTGCCTCCAAGTCCCCTTCCTGGGGTGCTTTTCTGTATCCTTCATTTTCAGTAATGTCACCGAAGCCAGGAGGAGACATAATGTTGCACTAAACTGGTGTTTTAGTCTTCCTCAGTGTGAAACTTTGTATGTACCCTCGTAGTATGCTAAAAGCTCTTGGCTTTTGAAAAGAATTTATACAAATAAAGTATTCATCTTTTATATATTAAATAGCATAACTTATTTTTTCTGCTTTTCTTTTTTTTCCTCAGATTACCTCATTAGTCAAACATGTTTCACACTTTTAACCTGTTAATCCCTTTCTTTTGTTAGCACTTAGATATCAGTTAGTCGTAAAAGCAAACGTGGATGTCTTAGCAGTACTAATTTTATGGTTTTGTTTAAGTTGAAAATTTTCTTTTAATTGAGGTTGACAAATATTGGGTACAACCGAAGTTGTACTTCGGGGGACTTAGATCTATTTCAGTTATCTTATAGAGCATTGGTGTGCAAAGAAGCTAGATACATAGAAATTTTTAAAAACATGTTTGTTTTTCTAGTTTTCTTTCCTTGGCTTAAGTATGAATACTAAGACTAAATATGGAGTTAGTCTTATTATGTACCTAAAGTTTAGATTCAACATGGTGAAACCCCATCTCTACTAAAAATACAAAAATTGGCCGGGTGTGGTGGCACGCTCCTGTAGTCCCAGCTACTTGGGAGGCTGAGGCAGGAGAATCGCTTGAACCCAGGAGGCAGAGGTTGCGGTGAGCCAAGATCACACCACTGCACTCCAGCCAGACGACAGCAAAACTCCATCTCAAAAATAAAATAAAATAAAATAAAGATTTTGGAATACTTCCTGCAGCCCCAGTAATCTGTAGTTTAAAAATGTGCCCCAAAGACAGCTTCCTACTATTGGTAGAAAATAAGAACTCTTTCAAAGTATCTTTCTAGGAATCTATCTCCCCTTTAGAGAAATTAGAAATTTTGGTCATGCTTTTATGCAGTTATTCTCAAAGTCAAAAAATGTTAGTTTGTTAGAATATTATTATACATAGCCTAAATCAAGTGTCACTAGCCTAAATGCCTGCAGGGGCAAAAAAGGGGCCAGGGCAGTTAAGTGAGGAGGAAGACAATAATGAGTGATGAAAACTGTAGTGAACTAAAGAGCTCAGACTAGATAAAGTGGGAAGCTACTATCCACCTTGAGTGCTGCCACATCTCCTATTTTTCCCTCCAATTTTTATATGAAATCTCCCTAATTTGTGAAGTCTTCTAATTTGTAAACGTTGGAATGCAAATTTACACTTTTGCAAATGTGGTGTAGGCTGTTGTCCTATAGGCCAAACAAAACATGTCAGCAGGCCAAATAAAGCCCATGGGCCACCAGTATGGAGTTTATGCCCTAGATTATCTTAACAGCCTTACACTTGCATGAACTTGCCTATTCTGTTTTGATACTTATTAAGAGATAATGGTATTAATAATGATTCCAGCTGTCTGTTTTGATTAATATTTTACCTTAGCATATTAATGAAGTAAATAATTGGATTTTTTGTGTAGGAAGAGAGAGCAAAAGACTAGTTCCTAAAATGTATAGAAGATGATGTCTTATGTGTAAATATATGACTTGATTTCCATTATTTTTCTTAGAAAAATTTTATTCTGATCCCCTTTCATTGTCAAGTTCTGCTATTCTTCCTTTTTCCTACTTTCACATTCAGTATCTCCCTGCTTCTCCCACGATTATTATTTTCATTTGCAAGAGTTATAAAATAAAAATCCTCTTGTACAAACTCTGTAGAAAGTCAATCACTTTGTGATTTATTTACCTGCACAAACTTCCAGACATTCTTCCCCATAGCATTACAATTCCTTACTTAGTCTTAATATTACTTCTTTTAAAATTGCTTTTTAAGCAGAATGGACTGCCTTTAAGGCAGTTAGTGAAAAGGCCCACAGAAAACAATCTAGAGGGGTGATCTCATAACCATGTAAGATTTGACCCTACTCTATCAGGGATGATTGAACTGGGATGCCATTTACAGTGGTTCAGTACAGAGAAATAAGCATAAGTTAGTGAAACTTGTAGCTAAGATGGAATAACAGGGATAAGATTTACCCACCTGCCTGCAAAAAACTAAAATAGGGACAAAATATGTGAAACAACAATTTTCAGGACACTGTACATCGGGTAATAAAGGACAGTGATCCGTGAGAGATGGAAACAAGATAAGCCTTATCACTACCTCTACTTACTACCTTGAGAGAGTTTCCAGGCTGCGGCATATGGTGGGAGAAACCAGATGGAGAATGGTAGACTCCCTGAGTTCAGGAGATGGAGCTGAAAGTCTGAGGAGACCAAGGCAGTTAGAGTTAACAGGACAGAGTACTAGAGAAGTGAGAACTGCAGAGAAAAAACCCTGGAGATCTACAGATGGTCCCCTTTGAGTATTCAGCTGAGTATTCAACATTACATGCATGTCAGGAAAGGACCAGAGGCCTGACAAGGAACCACACAAAAGGATTCAAAGAAACCGTACTTGTGCTCACACAGGGCTAGGAATAGTGCCTGTTCCCACAAACTGGGCTGCAAATGCTCAAGATGTATGAAGCACTGGGTAGAGCACACAGAAGAATCTTACGCAGTAGTGAGGAATAATTAGCCCTAGACTGAGTACTGCTCTGGACAAGTCCAACAAATCTTTAAAATAAGACCTGAAAAGATCAAACTTTGAAGTTTTCAAATAATTTAACTTCAAGCCTGAGCAAAACTCAAAAATATTTACAAATATTTTACACCCAACTAGATAAAATTTATGATATATAGCATCCGGTAATTTTCAGGCACACAAAGAAGCAGGAAAATATGATCTATAATGAGAAGATAATAATCATAACTGTCTCAAAACTGACACAGAGGTTAGAATTAGCAGATAAATACATTAAAAGTTTTATGTAACTATTTCATGTGTTCAAAAGTTAAGTAGGAATATATTAAACCTCTAAAGACTCAAAAATGAACAGAATATCTGAGCTGTGGGAACTTTAAGTAGCTCAACATATGAAATTTGAGTCCCTGAAGTAGAGGAGAGAGAAAGCATGATAGAAAAAATATTGGAAGAAATAATGGCTGAGATTTTTCTGGATTTGATGAAAACTATAAACCCACACCTTCGGAATCTCCGTGAACACAAAGCATAGGAAACATGAAGAAAATTACACCAAGGCACATTATATTCAAACTGTTCAACACCTCTGATAAAGAGAAAATCTTAGAAGTAGTCATAGAAAAAAAAGCCAAAGAAAAAGGCAAGCGAGCATGTGGGACAGAGAGAGGAAATTGGGTTACGTACAGAGGAACAAAGATGACTATTACAGTATATTACTTGTCAAAAATAGTGCAAACAAGAAGAAGGCATAGTGACATCTTTAAAGTGCTGAAACTGTCAGCCTAAAATTTCTACCCAAAGAAAATATCTTTCAAAAACAAAGGCGAAATAAAGTGGTTTTTTTTCCCCAGATATACAGTAGCTGAAAGAATTGATAACCAGCAGATCTGCATTACCAGAAATGTTAAAGACAGTTGTTCAGGCAGTAGGGTAATGATACCAAATGGATTTACACAACAAAATGAAGAACACTGGAAATGCTAACTACATCAATAAATGTATCTGATACTTTTCTAATTATTGAACTTGATAATAGGCTGAGAAAAGTAAATTGGCCCACTTTATAAGACTCTTTAAAGTGCAGTAATGAAATAATAATGGCTAACATTTTGACTACTTACTGTGGGCAAGGAATATTACCTTCAGGGCTGATCATGTGGGTAACCTCTGCCGAGCACTTACCAAAATTCCAGATTCCCATAAGGAAAGCAGGTGTTCAGCATAAACCACATTGTTTGCACAAATAGTTTAGACACACAGTGTGCCACTTTTAAGAGTTTGGGGAGTAGTGGCCTGGTGCGGTGGCTCACGCCTGTAATCCTAACACTTTGGGAGGCCGAGGCGGGCAGATCACGAAGTCAGGAGATCGACATCATCCTGGCTAACACAGTGAAACCCGTGTCTACTAAAAATACGAAAAGTTAGCCGGGCGTGGTGACGGGCGCCTGTAATCCCAGCTACTAGAGAGGCTGAGGCAGGGGAATGGCATGAACCCGGGAGGCGGCGCTTGCAGTGAGCCAAGATTGTGCCACTGCACTCCAGCCTGGGCGACAAGGTGAGACTCCGTCTCAAAAAAAAAAAAAAAAAAGAGTTTGGGGAGTAGTGAGAACCCTCCTGAAATCAAAGTTCTCAGATGCCAGCTAAAGGTCAACCTTGCGAGCAAGCCTGCTATGTTAATTCTTTTTTGCATCGCTAGACAAAGAATAAAGACATTTCCCCTCATTTATCTTTTTGTTAGGAAGGAAAATCTTTCCTGGTTTCTCTCTCACTACATTCTGTCTCAGTACCATTAGCTAGGATGGGTTGCTTATATCCTCACTGCAGTGAGACTGGGAAGTTAAATACCTAGAATTTCTGATCTCTGTATTGGAAGACAGATTGTGCAACAGGGAGTAAGGGCAGTGGAAATGGAAGAAGAATATCTGTTAAGAGTTGTGTATTTTTCTAACTCATAATTGTCAATCCTATTGTTTTTAAGGGTAAGGGGCTCAGAGATACATAGCTAGGAAAAATAAGCACCATGGCATTTACTTTTTATATAAAATACAATCGAATTTATTAGCAACTTTTTCAGTATATAGGGTAGTTTTGTTGTAATATACAAGACGGATTTCTAGACAAAGTGTTTAAGACAAAATCTGTGTCAGTAAACTGAACAGAAAAACAACCCAAAATTACCCCCATTTATAAACAGAACAAAATAACCCCACTCTAAATTACTCTGTTTGATTTATTAGTTTAAATGAATTGTTTTTACTAAAACTGTAATATTGCAATTTTATTTGCACACAAAAGTTTTTGTCAACACTATTGTATGGTTGATTTTACAAATTGATAAGATACTATTCTTCAAAAAGGATAATCTTTTTTTTACTATAAAAAATTTAATCATTTCTCAGTAAAGCTATTATTTCTTGGTTTGACTTCTAAAAATTTCCTTTACTTCTGACAGAATACTTTTGACATGGTCAATTAAACAAATAGCCAATTCATGCCAAAAACCAGTTGGAATTATCAGGTAAATGTAAATGGGTATTTATAGTGAAACAAAAAACATCAAGATATATTTCCTGATAATAAGGTTGTGTTGTCTTGCCATGGACTAAAACAAAACAGTCCTGTAATGGAAAATGTAAAGCTTGCTTACTCGAAAATCTCAGTACTAAAGGAATGCTACCAATTCCAGTAAAGTATTGTTGATTTTGGAAATAACCTCTAACATTAGACTGCTAAGATGTAGATTTAGGTTTAAGAAAGCTGAAATGCCCTTTGTAAACCTCAGACCTAAAAATTATACTTGGTTTTTGAATTAAGAAAAAAACCTGGTTGTATTATAATTGTACTGATTACCTAAGATGTAATTACTAATTGAAGTAGGGGGTTGTCATCTAGATTCTGATTATTAACTAACAAGTTTGAATCTGCTACTGAACTACATGTCTAGTCCTAGCATATATTATAGTACACAATTTGTTTTTAGCAGATTTTTCAAGTTCCTAGGAATTAATGGACCTATTAGTTGTAGGTTTTAAGAGTAAATCTCTCACGGTCTATTGATTGGAACCAAGGATTTATCGTGTTTTGTTAGTCCAAGTGAAATGTTAGAAGATGGCATATGCTATTGCATTGATTTTGTTTTCTGTTAGCCGAATACTTTTAAGAATGACTTTCTAATAATGCAGATACAGAAATTACATAGTGACTATGCTAATAAAACCTGACAAGTCATTTTTAAGTTGAACCATAAAGATGGTCAAATATTATTAGTTTCATATGGTTCAATCTGATACTTACATGACTGTATTTCTGCAAGCACAGGTACATAGTGTTCTTAATTATTCAGTAGAATATTTGTGTGTTAATTCTGTTTTGATCCTCATTTTCATTCCCTACTGTCTGTCAACCCTGAAAGTTATTACTTGTAACAAGCAGGAAGCAACTTGTTAGAAAATAACATATATTAATTTGCGTTCATTATAGCATTTTACAGACAATATAGTGTTAGACTTGGAAAACATGTTAGAGGTCCTCTGAGGCCACCCCAGTCACCTAATATAGGAAAATCCCTATGACATCCTCTCCAGATGGTTATTTCCCTCTGCTTAACCACTTAAGGACATTATCTCAAGAGTTTTTCTATATTATTAGAAGGTACATATATGATACTGAAAACTACCCAATTTTAACTCATTGGTCTCAGTTCTGCATTCTGTTAGGAATACCATAAAAAGACTACTTCTTCCAGATGGCAAATGTTTTAACATTAAAAGATAGACATCATATCTCCTACTCTCTTCCCCAATGGAAACAGTTCCAGCTATTTCTAAGTCATAGGCTCAAAACTTAGGATTTAAAGAACTTTAAGGAGTATTCCAGCAGTAATCTGATTTACAGGGTCTAAGCTACTTTCAATTTGAATTCCCTACATTGTCTGATGCAGTGCCTTGTAAATAATGAGCACTGAATAAATATTTCTTATGTGACTGTAAGACTGAGAGAGGGTAAATGAGATTTGAGTTTATTGTCATTCAGTAAATATTTATTGAGAATCTGTTGTGTACTAGCAGTTGTCCTAGACATTTAGGGATACACCAGTTAACAAAAGAGACAAAATCTCTGTCCTCATTAGTTTTACATTTTGTTGTCAAATACATTCAATAAAGATTAATTCTATAATATAAAGTGTTATAAATGTCATGAAGTGTTATGTAATTGGATAATGGTATGAGAGAGTGAGGGAGTGGGTGATGCTGGTATTTTAGATTGAGGTGGTCAAGGAAGGCCTCATAGAGATGTTACCTCATAGAGATGAGGTAAGAATTGATCAATGAACTGAATGAAGTGAGGCAGCTCAGACGTGGATATTTCAGACAGGAGTTGATATAGTTTAGATGTTTGTCCCTGCCCAAATCTCATCCTGACATGTAATCCCCAATGTTAGAGGTGGGGCCTGGTTGGGAGGTATTTAGATCGTGGGGCCATGGGGGGTGGGTGGGCAGATTTCTCATGAATGGCTTGGGTCATCCCCTTGGTGATAAGTGAGCTCTTGCTCTGGGTTCATACGAGGTCAGGTTGTTTAAAAGTATGTGACACCTCCCCACCCACTCTTTCTCTCCCTTGCTCCTGCTTTCACCATGTGATGTGCCTACTCCCCCTTCTCCTTCTAAGCTTCCTGAGATCTCCCCAGAAGCCTTCCAATGCCATGCTTTCTATAAAGCCTACAGAACCATGAGTCAATTAAACCTCTTTTCTTTATGAATTACCTAGCCTCAGATATTTCTTTACAGCAATGCAAGAACAGCCTAATACAGGAGTGTTCTAGACAAATGCAAGGGCTTAATTAAGAGTCACCAAGACTGGAGTTGAGTGTGTCAGGACTGAAGGGGAGAGCGTGAATAGTTGAGATGAGATAGTTTGAGGAAAAAATCTTGTAGGGAGCTGTGAGCTTGAGTAGGAATTTAAAATTTTTATTCTAAGTGTGATGGGAAGCCACGAAGCATTGGAATTACATGATTAGACCTATATTGAAGAGTCACTAGTGAGAATAGACTACTGAGGGACAAGAGAGGAAGCAAAGCAACCTGTTATAACCCTATTTTCATAATTTTCTAGGGCTTTACTATCTAATGTGGTAGCCACAAGTTCCCTGTGGCCATTTAAATTTACATTAATTAAAATTAAATAAAAATTAAAAATTCAATTCGTCTGTTGCACTGACCAGATTTTTCAAGTTATATGTCTACAGACGGTCCTCGACTTAGGAGGGTTCAACTTAATGATTTTTTTACTTTACGATGGTGCAAAAACAGTAGGCATTGAATTGAAACAGTACTTGGAATTTTGAATTTTTATTTTTATTTTTTTACTTTTTTAAATTATATTTTAAGTTTTAGGGTACATGTGCACAATGTGCAGGTTTGTTACACATGTACACATGTACCATGTTGGTATGCTGCACCCATTAACTCATCATTTAGCATTAGGTATATCTCCTAATGCTATCCCTCCCCCTTCCCCTTCCAGCATCTGTTGTTTCCTGACTTTTTAATGATCGCCATTCTAACTGGTGTGAGATGGTATCTCATTGTGGTTTTGATTTGCATTTCTCTGATGGCCAGTGATGATGAGCATTTTTTCATGTGTCTTTTGGCTGCATACATGTCTTCTTTTGAGAAGTGTCTGTTGATATCCTTCACCCACTTTTTGATGGGGTTTTTTTTCTTGTAAATTTGTTTGAATTCTTTGTAGATTCTGGATATTAGCCCTTTGTCAGATGAGTAGATTGCAAAAATTTTCTCCCATTCTGTAGGTTGCCTGTTCACTCTGATGGTAGTTTCTTTTGCTGTGCAGAAGCTCTTTAGTTTAATTAGATCCCATTTGTCAATTTTGGCTTTTGTTGCCATTGCTTTTGGTGTTTTAGACATGAAGTCCTTGCCCATGCCTATGTCCTGAATGGTAATACCAAGGGTTTTCTTCTAGGGTTTTTATGGTTTTAGGTCTAACGTTTAAATCTTTAATCCATCTTGAATTAATTTTTGTATAAGGTGTAAGGAAGGGATCCAGTTTCAGCTTTCTACATATGGCTAGCCAGTTTTCCCAGCACCATTTATTAAATAGGGAATCGTTTCCCCATTTCTTGTTTTTGTCAGGTTTGTCAAAGATCAGATAGTTGTAGATATGTGGCATTATTTCTGAGGGCTCTGTTCTGTTCCATTGTTCTGTATCTCTCTTTTGGTACCAGTACCATGCTGTTTTGGTTACTGTAGTCTTGTAGTATAGTTTGAAGTCAGGTAGCGTGATGCCTCCAGCTTTGTTCTTTTGGCTTAGGATTGACTTGGCGATGTGGGCTCTTTTTTGGTTCCATATGAACTTTAAAGTAGTTTTTTCCTATTCTGTGAAGAAAGTCATTGGTAGCTTGATGGGGATGGCATTGAATCTATAAATTACCTTGGGCATTATGGCCATTTTCACAATATTGATTCTTCCTACCCATGAGCATAGACTGTTCTTCCATTTGTTTGTATCCTCTTTTATTTCATTGGGCAGTGGTTTGTAGTTCTCCTTGAAGAGGTCCTTCACATCCCTTGTAAGTTGGATTCCTAAGTATTTTATTCTCTTTGAAGCAATTTTGAATGGGAGTTCACTTATGATTTGGCTCTCTGTTTGTCTGTTATTGATGTATAAGAATACTTGTGATTTTTGTACATTGATTTTGTATCCTGAGACTTTGCTGAAGTTGCTTATCAGCTTAAGGAGATTTTGGGCTGAGACAATGGGGTTTTCTAGGTATACAATCATGTCGTCTGCAAACAGGGACAATTTGACTTCCTCTTTTCCTAATTGAATACCCTTTATTTCCTTCTCCTGCCTGATTGCCCCTGGCCAGAACTTCCAACAGTACGTTGAATAGGAGTGGTGAGAGAGTGCATCCCTGTCTTGTGCCAGTTTTCAAAGGGAATGCTTCCAGTTTTTGCCCATTCAGTATGATACTGACTGTGGGTTTGATACGCAGTTGGACACTCTCTCACAATGCCAATCAGTGGCAGAGAGCTACAGCTCCCAGTCAGCCACGCGATCACAAGGGTAAACAACTGACACGGTAGCCTACAGTGTACTGTATTCAACCTTATGTATGGTGTTCAGAAGGTTAGGTATATTAATCAGGAGTAGAAACAAATTTGATTCTAGAGAAAATAAATGGAAGAGTAAGCCCAAATAACTTCTCAAATCACAGATGAAACATTATACATCTATGTATATTCCAGTAATTACAACAATTTCAACTTAATATTTGGACATTGTCAAAAATTCTACTCAAATTGCTCCATTCTAAAAATGATTTTGATATTACCAATTTCCATTTTGAAATATTTTATACATTTCAGTTTTTAAAAAATCTAATTTTTATATCTAAGCAGTGACATGAGATTTTATCCTGAATCTTTCCAAATCTTCAGGCCTTTCATTTCTTAGGAGAAGTGGAAAAGGCAGTGGAGGGAGGGAAGAGTCCAGATTTCAACTCCTGTCACCATACCACATTTCTATATTTCTAAATGTTTTCTCTAACATCTCTGATTATTACATTTGGCTTAAGGTAGAGCTTTTCTAAGAGTAGTAATATGGTAAGAGAGGTAATTTCTGCAGCTAAATTTCAGAAAATCAAATCCTGCAATAAGCAAGTTCCTTTCTTTTTCTTTTTTCTTTTTTTTTTTCCCCCAATACTTGTCTCCATGATGAGGTCATGGAGAGAGTCCCATTCTGGTGCTAGTTTGTTTGTTTGACTTGCTAATCTCCCTTTTTAACAAATAGAGACATGTCCCAAGCTTGGAGTGTTGCTGCACAGGCAGGCCACACTCTTGTGGCTCATATTCAATAACATTATTGTGTTCTCATGTATGGATTGATAGTGACTTTTGTACTTACCTTCTATTTATGGAACATTTTACTGGTTTTCCATTTAAGAACATAATATTGACCTAAGATTTGCTTTTTAAATAAATTCAAATGTAAAAATGAGACATTTAAAAAATATTAAATAAGGACATTTGGGTATGGTAAGATTATAAGGGGAGGAAATAAATCTTAAATAAATTTTATTATTGTTAATTATTATTATTTTTGAGACAAGTTCTTGCTCTGTTGCCCGGGCTGGAGTGCAGTGGCACAGGCCCGGTTCACTGCAGCCTTGACTTCCCCAGCTCAAGCAATCCTCCCACCACAGCCTCCCAGGTAGCTGGGACCACAGGCACACACCACCATAGCCAGCTAATTTTTGTATTTTTTTAGAGATGGGGTTTCACCATGTTGTCCAGGCTGGACTCCTGAGCTCAAGCAGTTTGTCCACTCTGGTCTCCCCAAAGTGCTGGGATTATAGGTATGAGCACTGCACCCGCAGAAATTTTATTCTTAAGAAAAAATAGGTGACTTAGCAAGATGATTCATTAATGCAGTACACATATGGGTTATTTGTAAAGGAGAATAGAGCAAAAACATTCTAGGACCTCTTTCTCCAAGTTTCATGACCTAGAACTGTACTAGAACATCATGTCTAAATAGCCAACATTACTGATATAATGAAATTTAAATGCTACACTGCAATTAAATTTAATTTTCAAATTCTATCACAAAATGTACTTATTTGTGTATAGTTTACATTTTCTAACTTAACAAAGGAAATAATATTTCTACCAAGTGCTCTTCCCTAAATCAGTGCATTACTATCTCTTTCTAGCAGGTCTAATTTCGGGCTAGCTAGCTTTACCTCTGGGAATTATAGAAGTGATTTTAGAAATAAATGTCAAATAACGATTATTCCTGCTGTTTCCCTCTTATTAGCCAAGTGTTTAATAGACATAGCTAAAGATTTTTATCTTTTTGTTTAGGTATCTGTTGTCGCAAGAAGACTCACTCTGCTATTTTTATCTAGAAGCACTCCGTTTCTCCCTAAAACACAGATTTATGACTTAATTCTCTTTCATGTAGGACACCTGTTACCTCTATTTGGATCTTGTGCTTCCAGTTTCTCACTCGTTTAATGAATTCTGTACACTTAGAAGGCACACAAAGCCTGGGCTGGGGTACACGTGGGGATCACACTGCAGGCTGTGAATGTAGACAAAAATCCTTTGTTGTGGGTGTGATCACTTTAACAATTAGTGCATCAAAATCTCTTGTATTCACAATAAGCAATTGCATATTTAAAAATTTTTTATCTCCATTTAAAGATGTAGCCCTCATGTATTTAGACTTTACCGTATAAATTTTAATTAAGTTCAGTTCCACTCTCAAGTCCCTAGAATTATGGCAAAATGCTTTCAAAGATAGCCGACTTTCTTATAGAGTTAACCAGCCTTTTTAGTGAAATATGTGTCCACAATCTCTCATCTGCAATTCAAAATCCAAAAATGTCTGAAAAAGCAAGTGTTTTTTTTTAACTCATTTGAATGCAAAACTGTACTTGAGCTTTTTTGGTGGCAAAACCTGACTGAACTGACATGAAGCTATTTACAGTTTTTATTTATCCCACTTAGTGTAAATATTCATCAGTTTACTGCAGAAATGTTGATGTGTTAGATTACTGGGTGTTGCCCCAGACCTTTGCTGGGGATGTTTCAGAATATAGAGTAAAGCACTGCATTACTTTTTTAAACATAACATAGCTGGTCCAGAGTTTGTCATAAGTAGTTGGGAACCCGTGTGTAGATAAGAATATGCATAAGAGATAAAGTGAGGCTAGATATTTTTCTTTTTTTTCTTATTCTTTTCCTTTTTTGTCAGTCATGTTCTTCTTTGTCTCTTCCTTTTGCTCCCTCTCTCCTCATCCTCCCTCCTAATAAAAGTCAGTAGCAATAACCCAATAAGCAGTATCAAATGTGTCGAGTTCTGTCCTTAATACATTTTAAATGACCTTAATAAGATATATAGTTCACTGTTTATAATAGAATCCATAACAGACAGAACCTTAAATAAACATTATTCTTTGCTAAAAACTTCTCTGCTTTGTTTCTCCAAAAGGTCATTTGAGTTATCATTACAACCCCCTGTGTTTTCTTCCTTCTGAATTGCACACTGAGTAATTACCACACAAATTAGTAAAATTCTGTTACATTTATCTTCAGACTGATAGAATATGGAGAATAAGACCATTGCCCTTATTTTGTGCTCTGTAAATCAGTGTGAACATAAATTATCAATTTTACTTTTTATCATTTACTGTAGCTTAGATTTTTCTGCTAATTTAATAAAGGCT
Source organism: Homo sapiens (assembly GCF_000001405.40). Classification (NCBI taxonomy): domain Eukaryota; kingdom Metazoa; phylum Chordata; class Mammalia; order Primates; family Hominidae; genus Homo; species Homo sapiens. The sequence goes on from NC_000004.12 coordinate 86,622,313, forward strand.
AATTCTTTAAAAACATACTGTAGTTTTGAGAGAGATAATTACAGAATACGAGCTTATGGAGAGTCTTTGGTAATAACTAAGTACATAAAGCCCCTTTTAATGTATGTTAACGAAGGGTAGTAAAACTTTACCTATTTGCTGTGAATTTACTTCATTTGTTTCTAATGATGGGACTCTAGGTCTTAAAATGAAAGGAAAAAAGTTGAACTTTAAAAATATAACCAATAACGAAGGGATTACTGTTTTAGATTAAAAGAGATATACAGTGTATAGACCTTGTTTGAATCCTCATTTCAACAAATGCTATTTAAAAGCCAAACCTATTCTGAGATAATCAGGGCTCTCTAGAAGAGGTGGTTTTGGGGCAAAGCCACTTAGTCTTCTTTTCTTGTTAGTCTTCATCTCTCTGTCCTTGGATGTCTCTTCTATCTGTGTGTACTACTTTAGAGTCTCATGAAATTTCAGGGCTTTAAAATACAATCTATATGTTGACTATTCTAAATGTTTATGCCCACCGCATATATTCAGTTACCTACTTAGCATCTTCACTTGAATGTCTAATCAGCATTGCAAACATAACATACAAAATCAAACTCTGAAACTTTCCCTCCAAACCAACTCCTTTCACAGGCTTCCTGTCTTAGTTAATGGTAACTCCCTCCTGCCAATTTCTTAGGGCAAAGAGCATCAATATCAACAAAAACTTTTGGCCCTTCCTTCAAGATATTTCCAGAATCTGATCACTTCCCACCTGTCCCACAGCTACCAGTTTGGGAGCTCAATGTCTCAATGTTTTTATGTTGAGAACCAGGGAAGCTGATGGTGTAACTCATTCAGAGGCTGAAAACCTCCCGGGGGTCTGCTGGTGTAAGTCATGGAGTCTAAAGACAGGCAGGTATGCAGTTCTGATGTCCAAGGCAGTGGAAGAAAAGTTTGTTCCAGTTCTCAGAGAGAGACCAGTTCACCTTCTGTGTGTGTCCTATCCAGGCCCCTGACTAATTGGATGGTGCCTGCCAATATTGAGGGAAGATTTTCTCTACCCACTCCACTCAGACTCACATACTAATCTCTGGAAACCCCCTCACAGACACACCCAAAATAATGCTTTACCAGGTTTCTAGATATTCCTTAATCCAATTAAGCTGACACCTAAAATTAAATCCACAAGTCTACTCCTTGTCAACTTGGCATTCATATGCATCTCCTCAAACCATAACTCATTTCCAAATAAAGACAATAACCAGGCAATAGTTTCACCTAACACGATGCAACTATCCTGTGATTGTGATTTTCAGAATTTTAGACTTTAGGGATTTTGATCTTTTGAGATTTCAACATTTGGGATTATGACTTTCAGGATTCTGTCTTTTGGAATTATGATCCAAATTCTTTACTTTCTGCCCAGAATGTTCTTTCCTATGTATATGCACATCTCACTCTCTCACCTCCTTTAGAACTTTGCTCAAATGACAAACTCTCAGTGAGGGCTTCCTTGATTGTTATATTTTAAATGTCTACTTTCTGACTTTCCTGCTATTCCCTAGGCCTCCTTCTTAGTTATTTTCCTCCATCACATTTATTACCATACGATATTCTAGTTATTGTACTTATTTATTGTCTGTCTTCTCCATAGGACCAGTTATTTTTGTCTAGTTTATTCACTCTTATCTCCTCAGTACTTAAAACAGTGCCTGGCTCATAGTAAATAATAAATATTTGTTAATTGATTGAATAAAAACCTAGCACCTATCAATGCATAGCACATAATAGTTGTAACAAATATTTAAATAAATGAAGGAATTAATAATCTAGTTGGTGGATCGTTCCATTCTTTTACAATTTATTTGACTCTCTTGTAGCTTTATTTTCTTTTTTATACTGCATAGACCCCATAATCCTTCCCCACAATAACTCCTGCCACAACTCTCAACTCTCTTTCTGCAGTATCCTCCAAGCAAATCTTTGACTTCTCTCTACTTATTTGTTGGTTGCTAAATGCAACCAAGAAAAAGCTGAGGATCTGATCTCTGGCTCAAGGGACAGCCAAAAAGAGAATACCCAGGGACCAGTGCTCTCATTATAAGATGATATATGATTCTATAGTACCTGAGCTCTGCAGCTCTAATAGTCCCTTTGCTTTGTTTAGTTTTCTAGTTTTGTAGACTTAAAAGGGCACCACTCAAAATAGCCCTTTGTTGAATAGTTAGTTCAGTTGCTAAAATCAAGGATGAGCATGGTAAGGAAGTATTCAACTAGCTGACCTCTGAGTAATTAGGAAAGTCTGGCATTGACTGCTCATCTTAGAATTGATTAACATCATAGGAGCTATTGGAATTGAGGGTTAAAGCTTTATCCAAAAGCTGGGTGCAGTGGCATGCCTATAGTTGCAGCTACTTGGGAGGCTGAGGCGGGATTGCTTAAGGCCAAGAGTTTGAGAATGCAGTGTGCCATGATCATGCCTGTGAATAGCCACTGTACTCCAATCTGGTTAACATAGTCAGAACCTGACTCTAAAAAGCAACAAAAAAGCTTTATCCAAAAATGCAATGGTTCTTTAACATTATTGTGTATGGGACCTACCTGGGGAGCTACAGATTCCTGAATACACAGTGAAAGCCATTCTTTGAGGGTATATATAAGCACATGGGCAGGTATATGAAGCATTTGAAATAGGTCATGAGGACTACCTCACTAAGCCAATGAATGAGGCCATTAGACAAGAAGTCCTCCACCTAACATTTCCATCTCTAAACATGAAACATGCTCCTTTCCCTTTGACTTCAGCAGACCAGATGAAGTATCATTGGAAAGGTAATCACTCTCTAATCTTTGTGACTTTACCTATTGCTTACCCACCTCCTCCTATATCTTGGAACTTTCATGATCTGACTGGTATTTACCACTTAGCTTCATCTCTTGTCTTCTCTTCCCCTTCTCTGGATAGTCTACAGAATTTGAATACCTCCTACTGTTTCTTGTCTCTCTCTTAATACAGGTTATTTCCCCTACCTGGAAGGCCTTAACTATAACCCCCTTATATCTTCTTTATCTACCTTCTTCTTACTTACACCCTCCTCCCTCATCCCAACCTTGGAATCATTTCTAAAATCTTCCTTTCTGGTCTAATTAAATACCCTTTTTGGAATCCCATGGCACTTTGAACCATTATGATATTTAACACAATATATATTATAATCATTGATTTATCCTCTCACCTGCTAGATATTTTTAGTTTGTTTTTGTTTGCTTATTTTTTTGTGTGTATGTGTGTGTGTTTAATGTCTGGTACCACACCACACCTATTCAACTTTTAGTCCCAGACTCATGGTCCTGAAGTCTAAAGGCTTGTTGGTAGAATTCAGTCCTTGTGATTGTAGGACCTTTTCTTCCTGGTCGTTGGCTGGGATACACTTTTGGCTCCTAGAGGCCACCCTTAGGTCCTTGCGATATGCCCCACTACGTAGGCAGTTTACAACGTGAAAGGAATCTTGAGGGCAATCGCAGAATGCTGCTTAGCACACTATTTTTTACAATGTAAAGGACAAATATGAATTTTTACTTGATCTTTTGTGTTTTATCCGTATTTGTTTCCTTTGGTTGCTGTCCAGTAGACATTTTAAGTCTATGTAATTTAGGAAGATCAGCAGTATCCTAAAGCAATGATCTTAACATAAGTCTGTAGGTAGCGAGGAAAGGTGTTGTAGAAAGACAATACTCAACATCAAAATTCTACCATTGCATTGTTTTCTGTTGGTACCTTCCAGTTGGTGAAGAGAAAGAACAAATGTGAAATTAGAGATTTCCCCCCTGGTTTTACTTTTCTCCTAAGTTTAAATGATGCAGAGAGGGACTGAAGAATTCCAGAGTTTTTCTTCTTATTCTTTGAAGCTGTCCTTTGAAAGCAGGGACTAGGCATACATGATTTCTATTTAGATAAGTAGTTGACATGAACCAGAGGCCCAGAAAGGCAATTTAGACTTGTGTTTATTTTAGTTTATCTTCTTTCACAGGGAAAGCATAATGGAAAAGTTGACAAATACTAAACATTGCTCCAACTGCAACAAAAACATTTAGATACATGCTGTTTCTACCTTGTGGCAACATCCAATTAAAACTTCACTGAGCTTTATTCCTTTTTCTCTTAAAATTCCTATTCTTTCTTAGTTTTTTGTAACTATATTAGGCAATAATATTTTTTCTCTACTACCTGATCTATAACTACTTCTAATGGAAAGAAATATTAATGTATTTTGTATTAGGGAGATGAACCCTTAATCTTCTACACCTCTAATAGTGCTTTTATTAGTGAGAGTGCAAAGATGCTGGAACTCTTTGCATTGTTGGTGGGGATGTAAAATGGTGCAGCTACTATGAAAAACAGTAATCCTGAATAAATTAAAAATACAATTACCATATGATTTAGCAATTCCACTTTTGGGTATACAGTTGAACCTTAAGTTTTAGGGGAATAAAAAGTTATATGTGGATTTTCAACTGCACAGAGGGTCAGTTCCCCCAACCCCTACGTTACTCAAGGGTCAGCTGTATATCCAAAATAATTCAAAGCAGGATCTCAAAGAGATATCTGCATACCCATGTTCATCACAGCATTATGTGTAATAGCCAAGAACTGGAAACAACCCCAAATGTTCTAAACAGGTGAATGGATACAGAAAATGTGGTATATACATATATGGTAAAATATTTTGCAGCCTTAAAAAAGAAGGAAATCCTGTCACATGCTATAACATGGATGAACCTTGAGGACATTATGTGAAGCAAAATAAGCTAGTCATTTAGGACAAGTACTAAATGATTCCACTCATATGAAATATCTAAAATAGTCAAAATCATAGAAACAGAAAGTACAAAGTTGGTTACCAAGGGCATTTCAGTTTTACAAGGTAAAGTTCCAGAGGTCTGTTCAATAACGATGTGAATATATTTAACACTACTGAACTATACACTTAAAAATGGGTTAAAATAGTAAATTTAACATTGTATATTTTTACCACAATAAAAAAAATGAGAAAAGTTAACTTTTAGAAAACAAATTTACCATTTATTATTATTTCTTAAAAAGCAAATGTTACCTGAAGTTGTGGTTAGTTTCTTCTAACACTAAAAACATCCAGGCAGCTTCATGGAACAAAGAAAAGGATTGCTGTTTCACCTTTGATTGGGTTTAGTTTTTGGTTTTTTTTTTTCTTTTTAACAGCTTTATTGAGGCATGTTTGACATATAATAAACTGTACATATTTAAAGTGTATAATTTGTTAAGTTTTGACATATGTATGTACCTATGAGATCATCACCACAATCAGAATAATGGACATATTTATGACCTCCAAATGTTTCCACATTTCCTCATGCCCCTTTTTAATCTTTCCCACATGCCTCTCCATAGGGCAATACCATCTTCAGGCAACCACTGATCTGCTTTCTGTAACTGTAAATTAGTTTGTATTTTCTATAATTTTGTATAAATGTAATCATACAACATGTACACTTGTTTCTGTCTTGCTTTCTTCATTTAGCATAATTATTTCAGATTTATCCATGTTGTCACATGTATCAGTAATAATTTTTATTGCTGATTAGTATTCCATTGTGAGGATATACTAAGATTTTTTTTTGTCCATTCACCTGTTGATAGATATTTGCTTGTTTCCAGTTTTTAGCTGTTACAATTAAAACTGCTATGAACATTTGTGTACAGGTCTTTGTATGGACATATGCTTTAATTTCTATTGGGTAAGCAGCTTGGCATGGAATGGCTAGGTCATATGTTAAGTGTATATTTAACTTTTTAAGAAACTATATTAACAGTTTTCCAAAGTGTGCCATTTTACATTCCCACTAGCAACGTATGAAAATTCCAGTTTCTCTACATCTTTGTCAATACTTAGTATGCTTTGTCAACACATTGTGGTTAATCTTTTTAATTTTAGATATCCTCATAGCTATGTAGTCATATCTCATTGTTTTATTTTTATTTTCCTAATGACTAATGATGTTGAGAATTGTTTCATGTGCTCATTTGCCAGCCGTATATCTTCTCTGATGTCCATTCAAATCTAAAAAAAACTGGATTGTTTGGTTTTTTAATTATATATTCTGGATATAAGTCCTTTATCAGTTATATGATTTGCAGTATTTTTCCTTAGTTTGTGGTTCATTTTTTTTTTTAATTTTTTTTTTTATTATACTCTAAGTTTTAGGGTACATGTGCACATTGTGCAGGTTAGTTACATATGTATACATGTGCCATGCTGGTGCGCTGCACCCACTAACGTGTCATCTAGCATTAGGTATATCTCCCAATGCTATCCCTCCCCCCTCCCCCGACCCCACCACAGTCCCCAGAGTGTGATATTCCCCTTCCTGTGTCCATGTGATCTCATTGTTCAATTCCCACCTATGAGTGAGAACATGCGGTGTTTGGTTTTTTGTTCTTGCGATAGTTTACTGAGAATGATGGTTTCCAATTTCATCCATGTCCCTACAAAGGACATGAACTCATCATTTTTTATGGCTGCATAGTATTCCATGGTGTATATGTGCCACATTTTCTTAAACCAGTCTATCATTGTTGGACATTTGGGTTGGTTCCAAGTCTTTGCTATTGTGAATAGTGCCGCAATAAACATACGTGTGCATGTGTCTTTATAGCAGCATGATTTATAGTCCTTTGGGTATATACCCAGTCAGGACATAGGCGTGGGCAAGGACTTCATGTCCAAAACACCAAAAGCAATGGCAACAAAAGCCAAAATTGACAAATGGGATCTAATTAAACTCAAGAGCTTCTGCACAGCAAAAGAAACTACCATCAGAGCGAACAGGCAACCTACAACATGGGAGAAAATTTTCGCAACCTACTCATCTGACAAAGGGCTAATATCCAGAATCTACAATGAACTCAAACAAATTTACAAGAAAAAAACAAACAACCCCATCAAAAAGTGGGCGAAGGACATGAACAGACACTTCTCAAAAGAAGACATTTATGCAGCCAAAAAACACATGAAGAAATGCTCATCATCACTGGCCATCAGAGAAATGCAAATCAAAACCACTATGAGATATCATCTCACACCAGTTAGAATGGCAATCATTAAAAAGTCAGGAAACAACAGGTGCTGGAGAGGATGTGGAGAAATAGGAACACTTTTACACTGTTGGTGGGACTGTGGTTCATTTTTTAACAGTTCTTTCTTTTCAAATAGCAAAGATGTTTAATTTTGATGAATTCCAGTTTATCAATTTTGTTTTTCTAATCTGGGTCATGCATTTGTTTTCATATCTACAAAAACATTGGCTAACTGAAGTCACCATAATTTTCTCCTAACTTTTTAATGGCCTTCAAGACCTTATTGTGTGCAGAAAAGCTTATTGAAAATTATTTTTAAATGAACATTCTTATTACATTAAAAATTCTAAAACCTATGTCTTACTTTTTTTTTAATGGGGTCTTGCTCTGTTGCCCAGGCTGGAGTGGAGTGGTGCAATTATAGCATTGCAGTCTCCACCTCCCAGGCTCAAGCAATCCTCCCATCTCAACCTCTCAGGTAGCTGGGACTACAGGCACGCACCATCATGTTCAGCTAATTTTTTTAAAAAGCATTATTATATATAGAGACGAGGTATCGCTGTATTGCCCAGGCAGTCTTGAACCCCTGGACTCAAGTGATCCTCTCACCTTGGCCTCCCAAAGTGCTGGGATTACAGGCATAAGTCACTGCACCTGGCCATAGTTCTTAAGCTTTTAAGGTCAATTTAATTATTTTTTCTATTTATACATGCAGAAAATTTCAAGGGACCCTTTGAGTGTATAATCTCATTTTCAAATTTAGTCAGTTAACATCCCATAAACACTTTAAACTGCATTCATACAATTAAAAGCCAATTTTTAAAGTATTTCTTGTATCTGACTGACAGAAAAAACCTTCCCAAGTACCCAAATAAGTCTTCTAATGAATGAAAACTTATATAGTAAGACTTATGTATAGCAAGCCTTTAAGGGTCTCTTGTATGTTCCAGTGGCATTTTGTATGTTTTAAAATACAAGCCTCAACCATTTTCTCATTACACTATTTAAATTGGAATCACCATGCGAATCTGTTATTCTAACTCACCTATTTCTCCTAGCTAAGATACTATATATGTACAGATTCTTTAATTTTAAAAAATACTAATATATGGGCTGTGTCTCAAACTTTTCTATACTTAATTCTGAATCTTCCTGGATGAAAAGATGCTTACAATTTTGGGGTTGCCTTCTCAACTCACTGTGGTTTTTTAATGACCAAAGATGTCCTTAGCCTGGATGGTGAGTGAATCCTTGCTCAAACTAGTGGCATACACAGAGCTCCATTTTATAGCTGCTTTGTTCTTGAAACAGCATGTTTCTATTAGCCCTATTTCTTTAGATTCAAGTTAAACATTCCTAATTAATCTGTCTCCAGACAGGTTATTTTATCACTTGATTGGATTTAGTTAATCTGTTTACTGTTCATTCTGTTCTCAATCACTGGTATGTACTAGCTGTGCGTGCCACAATCCTTCAGGATTAAAATGACATCTGTTAGAATCTCCTTGTGGCTTTGTCTCTGTGAGCAGTTTTAAGGTCATGTCAGTAATACCTGTGTTAACCAAAAACATAATAATGATTCTGGTTATGTGATAGAATTAATTTTTCTTATTTGAAATTTTTTTCCAAAAACTTTCTAGTTATCATGCAGCATATAACCTTCAAGAGAATAAAAGTAAATAATATGGCTATGTTTATTGTAAAATTTAACCTTTGTGATAGGTTAATGTGATAACGTCTGTTATATATCTGTACTCCCAAGTTACCTAGTACTGTGTCTAAAGGAAACAATTGAAGCAATAGGCTTTAAAAAATTTTTGTAACTAATTCTGTCCTCATCTGTTGGTTGACTTCAAGCTTTTTTCCCTCCATTTTCTTTTTTCTTTTTTGCATTCCTCTTCAGCTTCTGCATTTCTTTCATTCCCTTGTTATCTTCGGAGCTAATGATCTGAAGTGCTATAACAGTAAAATAAACATGTGAGAGAGAAAGATGGTGCTAGTAGGCAATTTATAAGCTGATAGCTTTGTTGTTTGTTTTCTAGAAAGCTGCTGTAATACTACATTAAATTCTGACATTGGGTAATTAGAATGAGGCAGTTTTAAAAAAATCTTTAAGTTCTTGCCTAGCAAAGCTGTAAATTAAAAATATTAAATCTATTCTGATAGCTTGATGATAACTTTGAAAAACAAATGTTCCTTTCTATGTTTTGGAGTTCTAAGAAGTTCTAACCAGAAATGTTCATAAAGATCCCATATTGAATATACAAAAAAAGTTTAAATAAAAATTAACACGGTATTGATATAATTCGTACCCGATTCAATCAAGCAACAGAGGTATAATTAGCAATCTTTGTAGCTAGAAAAATTAATTGCTGAAAAAATTCTATTGTGTGAGAAGTTACTTTTAACCTTTTCATTTTTTTATTTATAGGGAATAATTATATTTTAAAACCCAATTTATTTTTAAAAAGTAAGGAAAAACAGTATCTTAAGATTTAAAACCTAGTCTGTCTCTTGTGCTCTCTATATATACACATAAATATATGTGTGTATGTATGTATAAAGCCAACATACTGGTTTTACAATGGGATACATAACATATCATCATAAGCAACCTAATTTTGTTCTCCTTCCTTTTGTCCTTCCATCCTTCCTTATATCACCAGAGGAAGTTCTGCCTCTATATAAAAACCCAGATTCATAATTCCCTCCTTGCCCTTTGGTAATACTAATGACTACAGTCACTTAAACTCCATAATTAAAAGTACCTAGTCAGTATATTAATCAACCTTTCAATGTCCATTCAGAGCTAAAACTTTTCCCTTCCCTAGCTAAGATTATCTATAGATGGAAGACAGTGTGATTAGCTTCTCTTTTTGTTGCTTATCTCCTCACCCACTGGCAAGTTGCTATATCTGACCCCATCAGGATCTAAACCAGGGGAAGGAAGAGAGAAAGCAAGGCAAACAGTTTTTGTTGTTGTTTTTCCCACACTCCTGTTGTGAAATTGCTTTACTGTTTTTGAACTTGATATGTGTTTAAGGCTGGCCCTTTTTCTTCGGTGTGCTTTTGTGGGTTCTTCACAATCCTTCACTGGAACTACACTACATGTGACACTCCAGAATTTTTCCCTCCAACTAGCCAGTAACCCCTAACCCCTCTAGCCCTCAGCCTAGTTTTCTTTCAGGCCATTCCACAGTAGAAATAATTCTAATTTGAATCCTTCTTCTTTCTCTTTCTCCTCTTCTTTCCCTTCTCTCCTTTTCCCCTCCTCCCCCTGCGCCTCCTCCCTTCTTCCTTTTTCTTGGTGGTGGTCTGGGTACTTCAGGTGGAACTCTGGGTAGAATTTTTTAAACAGCTTTTCGAGATATACTTCACATACAATAAAACTTACCCTTTAAAAAAATTCTTTTTAGTTTTTTAGAAACGGTCTCACTCTGTCAACCAGGCTGGAGTACAGAAGCATGATCATAGCTCACTGTAACCTCAGACTCCTGGGCTCAAGCGAGCCTCCCTTTTCAGCCTCCTTAATAGGTAGGACTACAGTAGGCACCACCATGCCCGGCTGATTTTATTTTTTGTAGAGATGAGGGTCTCCCCATGTTGTCCAGGCTGGTTTTGAACTTCTGGCCTGAAGCGATCCTCCTACCTTAGCCTCCCAAATTGCTGGGATTACAGGCTTAAGCCACTATGCTCAGCCTTCACCCTTATAAAGTGTACCTTTAGTTATTTTTAGAATTTTTGTGCAACCATTGCCACTATCTAAATTTTAGGACATTTTAATCCTCTGGGTAGGATTTCATATAGGTCCAAGCTGGCCCTCTGTGTGGCCGTGCTTCCTTGCCCCTCTCTTACCCTGAGCAGTGGAAGTATAGCTGGCTTCTGATACAGTATGTCTCCTCACTCTTGTGTGCCCTCCCTCTCCTGTCTACCTCATGTTGCTGCCTCAGAGTGATAGGCAACACCTTTAGATTCCTAAAGTGTGTATTAGGCACTGCCTGATGTGCCCTCCACTAACTCCAGAGAACATATATCAAGGACTCCCAGGGGTCCCATTAAAGCTTCTTTCACTGGCTTGAGGTGAAAGGAAGGCACCTTTCCACATCCCTCCCACTTTGGAGGAGACATGAAAATCAGCACACAACTCTCTTCAAAGAAATTCTTGTTCTATCTTTGCTCTACTCTTTATACCCTGAGTATATGCGTTAGAGCTATCTAACCAGTTCTCAGACATATTACTTTGGAAATTTGCTACAGGGTAGTCCTTCACACAAGTCATGTTGGTATCTGATTGCTAATATTATCTGATCCCTCTGTTGAAACTTCCAATTTATCAATATTTTTCATGTAGAAGATAACTCACATATCTTTAGAAAGGAATGAAGCTTCTACTTTTTTCTCTTGAATAAATATGCTATTATATAATAAAGTCAATGAGAACCTAGAGACTTTGGTGCAGGCAGGGGATCTAAATAAATAATCGCACTTCTTGTACAACCTAAGTAAAAACGCTTTTGGCTTTTTTAAAGCAGTATCTTATAGTTTCCTTTTAACTTTCACATTGTGTATATAAGTAGACACCCTGGAGGCAGACTTTAAGCATAAAATGTTTTAGTAAACATTTAAAAAGGAAAGTGAAAGGACAAGACTGGCCTCATTTATAGTTGGAATTGCTTTTTTCAGTCAGGATTAAGTACCATAAATGTAAATTAAAAGAAAATAGTAGCTTGTCTTGTTAGTTGAGTAAACAAAGTCAACTTTTATCTAAAACAGATGTTTTTATAGGTTAACTTTTAAACTCCTTATTTGGCTTCTTTTCCAAATCTGCTTCTCCCTTACAGTAGAAATATACTATATATGTTATGCTTAAATTGGTTTTGTCTGGGTAGAAATCTTATGAATCACTCTAAAGAACAATTTTCAAGCTGTGTCAATTTAGGAAAATTTATATAGAAGGATTTTAACTAGTTACATTTTCCTCTTTTAACATGAAAATAGGCTTATTAAGCCCCATAGAAAATCTTAAGTTTTATCAGTATATCATCACTTAACTGAACGCCATTGGAAAAATTGACCTGACAAAAATTTCAGCACAGACACTTATCTGATCTTTTATTAATTCACCTTCTGTAGAATCATATATCAAAGCATGTTCACAAGCATAGCCACTTCCCTTGTCATAGCCACCCAAAATGACATTTTTATTGTTACTATCATTCCTGTGTTACAATAGGGAAACAGAGGTTTAAAGGAAAAGTGACTCTCCCAGGGAAAATGGTGAGTTGCCAACAAAGCTGGGTCTGGAAATACTTAATTGCATTTAGTGCAAAATATACAGTTATAGTATATATATTGGAGATAATAGAAATCAACTAAAGAATGAAAGAAATGTGTTCCATCTTATTCCCAACTTCCCCTACCATGGCTGTAGGTTCTCCTCTCTATTTCTCTCTACTTTTATATCTGGGATGGATAGGATGAAACCTGGAACAGAAATCTGAAAGGCCTTCAGTTCAGTCTGACTGCTTTGGTTTATGATCTGTATTTTGGTGCCTCCTAGTACCCTGGGGTCTCTTCCTTTTTCCGTAAAGCAGTCACCACCCCCATTCTCCAGTTCTGTCTCTGAAGTTGACCGTGTTGGGCTAGGGCAAGTGGTTGTTTTGAGGGTTTTTCCCTCCAATTCCTTTACCTTCTGTGAGTTTAAGATAACATTTAGATTGGTAGCCATATTGAGAAATTAGGTAGACAGGGGGCTTATAGTCTGTCATCACTGATGTAGAGCTTTTACTACTGCAAGTATAGTTAAGTTGCTGATGCATAGACCATCTGTTACCTTTGTTTCCCAGGTAATATGCACGTGTCACTAGCTGAGGCCCTGGAGGTTCGGGGTGGACCACTTCAGGAGGAAGAAATATGGGCTGTATTAAATCAAAGTGCTGAAAGTCTCCAAGAATTATTCAGAAAAGGTAAGCTGCTGCTGCTGCTGCTGTTGTTGTTGTTGTTTCAGTATTGGGTACTTAAAAAACAGATACAGGGTCAGAGATTAGATTTTTGTTTCATTATTCCTGTGCCTTTGGCAGAGTATGAAAGGAATACTTTCCTTATCTCTTTTAGGGCTGAAAAAGCTCAGCTATTATCTACATTCATTTGAATATCTTCTATGTGCCCAATATTACACCAGGCAGCAAAAGTGTAATGGTGATTGAAACCGAAACAGTTCTTCTCAGTTTAGAGCTCACAGTTCAATGTGGAAAATAGCTATTAACAAAATATTTGGGCCAGGTGCGGTGGCTTACACCTCTGTTCCCAGCACTTTGGGAGGCTGAGGTTGGGGTGTCACTTGAGGTCAGGCGGTTGAGACCAGCCTGGTGAACATGATGAAACCCCATCTCTACTAAAAATACAAAATTTAGCCGGTGTAGTGGTGGGCACCTGTAATCCCAGCTACTCGGGAGGCTGAGGCAGGAGAATCACTTGAATCCAGGAGGTGGAGGTTGCAGTGAGCCAAGATTATGCCACTGCACTCCAGCCTGGGTGACAGAGTGAGACTCCTCTCAAAAAATAAATAAATACACACACACTCACACACGAACACATTTGTACTGTATAAACAAATGTAAAAAATGCAGCCATGACAAAGGCTAAAAAGGAGGGATTCAGTGACTCTCTGAGAACTCATAATAGGAGGATTTGACTTGATCATGGCACAGAAAAGGAAGGCTCTCCTACACAAGCTAAGACCCAAAAGAAAAGTTAACCAGGTGAGAGGGAGGGGAAAAAAATCTGGTAGAATAATATATGCATCCGTGTTACTCTAAATCAGAATGATATAGGGTCAACAAGTATTTTGGTGTTTCCCTGTGGAGGAGGTCACTTGGTCCAAATGGTTTTGCGGCATTGTGGAGTTAGAAAAGTTAGAATCATCCTTTGGTTGTCCAAAAACATTTGATATCATGCCAGAAGTTGCACATGAAGATGTTGTTTGCCATTCATAGCACCTGACCAAAACTTACTTAGAATAGTAGGTGAAAAAACCAAGCGTCATCTAAAGAATCAGTCTCTAAAATTGATTTGAATGCATACATCAGACACAAAAAAGCCTGACAGAAATAAGTAAGGATTGAGGGTAGTGATAGTTCTGAAAGTGTGGTACCAGCAACATTAGCATCTTTTGAAAACTTGTTAGAAATGAAGGCAGAAATAAAGATGTTCTTTGAAACCAACGAGAACAAAGACACAACATACCAGAATCTCTGGGACACATTCAAAGCAGTGTGTAGAGGGAAATTTATAGCACTAAATGCCCACAAGAGAAAGCAGGAAAGATCCAAAATTGACACCCTAACATCACAATTGAAAGAACTAGAAAAGCAAGAACAAATACATTCAAAAGCTACCAGAAGGCAAGAAATAACTAAAATCAGAGCAGAACTGAAGGAAATAGAGACTAAAAAAAACCCTTCAAAAAATTAATGAATCCAGGAGCTGGTTTTTTGAAAGGATCAACAAAATTGATAGACCGCTAGCAAGACTAATAAAGAAAAAAAGAGAGAAGAATCAAATAGACGCAATAAAAAATGATAAAGGGGATATCACCACCGATCCCACAGAAATACAAACTACCATCAGAGAATACTACAAATACCTCTACGCAAATAAACTAGAAAATCCAGAAGAAATGGATAAATTCCTCGACACATACACTCTCCCAAGACTAAACCAGGAAAAAGTTGAATCTCTGAATAGACCAATAACAGGATCTGAAATTGTGGCAATAATCAGTAGCTTACCAACCAAAAAGAGTCCAGGACCAGATGGATTCACAGCCGAATTCTACCAGAGGTACAAGGAGGAACTGGTACCATTCCTTCTGAAACTATTCCAATCAACAGAAAAAGAGGGAATCCTCCCTAACTCATTTTATGAGGCCAGCATCATCCTGATACCAAAGCCGGGAAGAGACACAACCAAAAAAGAGAATTTTAGACCAATATCCTTGATGAACATTGATGCAAAAATCCTCAATAAAATACTGGCAAACCGAATCCAGCAGCACATCAAAAAGCTTATCCACCATGATCAAGTGGGCTTCATCCCTGGGGTGCAAGGCTGGTTCAATATACGCAAATCAATAAATGTAATCCAGCATATAAACAGAACCAAAGACAAAAACCACATGATTATCTCAATAGAGGCAGAAAAGGCCTTTGACAAAATTCAACAACCCTTCATGCTAAAAACTCTCAATAAATTAGGTATTGATGGGACATATCTCAAAATAATAAGAGCTATCTATGACAAACCCACAGCCAATATCATACTGAATGGGCAAAAACTGGAAGCATTCCCTTTGAAAACTGGCACAAGACAGGGATGCCCTCTCTCACCACTCCTATTCAACATAGTGTTGGAAGTTCTGGCCAGGGCAATTAGGCAGGAGAAGGAAATAAAGGGTATTCAATTAGGAAAAGAGGAAGTCAAATTGTCCCTGTTTGCAGACGACATGATTGTATATCTAGAAAACCCCATCGTCTCAGCCCAAAATCTCCTTAAGCTGATAAGCAACTTCAGCAGTCTCAGGATACAAAATCAATGTACAAAAATCACAAGCATTCTTATACACCAATAACAGACAAACAGAGAGCCAAATCATGAGTGAACTCCCATTCACAGTTGCTTCAAAGAGAATAAAATACTTAGGAATCCAACTTACAAGGAACGTGAAGGACCTCTTCAAGGAGAACTACAAACCACTGCTCAAGGAAATAAAAGAGGATACAAACAAATGGAAGAATATTCCATGCTCATGGGTAGGAAGAGTCAATATCGTGAAAATGGCCATACTGCCCAAGGTAATTTATACATTCAATGCCATCCCCATCAAGCTACCAATGACTTTCTTCCCAGAATAGGAAAAAACTACTTTAAAGTTCATATGGAACCAAAAAAGAGCCTGCATCGCCAAGTCAGTCCTAAACCAAAAGAACAAAGCTGGAGGCATCACGCTACCTGACTTCAAACTATACTACAAGGCTACAGTAACCAAAACAGCATGGTACTGGTACCACAACAGAGATATAGATGAATGGAACTGAACAGAGCCCTCAGAAATAATGCCACATATCTACAACTATCTGATCTTTGACAAACCTGACAAAAACAAGCAATGGGGAAACGATTCGCTATTTAATAAGTGGTGCTGGGAAAACTGGCTAGCCATATGTAGAAAGCTGAAACTGGATCCCTTCCTTACACCTTATACAAAAATTAATTCAAGATGGATTAAAGATTTAAACGTTAGACCTAAAACCATAAAAACCCTAGAAGAAAACCCTTGGTATTACCATTCAGGACATAGGCATGGGCAAGGACTTCATGTCTAAAACACCAAAAGCAATGGCAACAAAAGCCAAAATTGACAAATGGGATCTAATTAAACTAAAGAGCTTCTGCACAGCAAAAGAAACTACCATCAGGGTGAACAGGCAACCTACAGAATGGGAGAAAATGTTCGCAACCTACTCATCTGACAAAGGGCTAATATCCAGAATCTACAATGAACTCAAACAAATTTACAAGAAAAAAACAACCCCATCAAAAAGTGGGCAAAGGATATGAACAGACACTTCTCAAAAGAAGACATTTACGCAGCCAAAAGACACATGAAAAAATGCTCATCATCACTGGCCATCAGAGAAATGCAAATCAAAACCACAATGAGATACCATCTCACACCAGTTAGAATGGCAATCATTAAAAAGTCAGGAAACAACAGGTGCTGGAGAGGATGTGGAGAAACAGGAACACTTTTACACTGTTGGTGGGACTGTAAACTAGTTCAACCATTGTGGAAGTCAATGTGGCGATTCCTCAGGGATCTAGAACTAGAAATACCATTTGACCCAGCCATCCCATTACTGGGTATATACCCAAAGGACTATAAATCATGCTGCTATAAAGACACACGCACACATATGTTTATTGCGGCACTATTCACAATAGCAAAGACTTGGAACCAAGCCAAATGTCCAACAATGATAGACTGGATTAAGAAAATGTGGCACATATACACCATGGAATACTATGCAGCCATAAAAAAATGATGAGTTCATGTCCTTTGTAGGGACATGGATGAAATTGGAAATCATCATTCTCAGCAAACTATCGCAAGGACAAAAAACCAAACACCGCCATGTTCTCTCTCATAGATGGGAATTGAACAATGAGAACACATGGACACAGGAAGGGAAACATCACACTCTGGGGACTGTTGTGGGGTGGGGGGAAGGGGGAAGGATAGCATTAGGAGATATACCTAATGCTAAATGACGAGTTAATGGGTGCAGCACACCAGCATGGCACTTGTATACATATGTAACTAACCTGCACAATGTGCACATGTACCCTAAAACTTAAAGTATAAAAAAAAAAATGCAACAGTAAAACACACATTAGAGACCTACTAAATAAGCAACTCTGGGGGTGCAGCCCAGCAATTTGTGTTTTAACAAGCCCTCAAGGACATTGTGATGCATGCTAAAGTTTGAGAACCATTTATAGGATAGAGTTTCTAAAGACCAGGAGCCATGGGAACCTTCTGGAAAGATGTAGGGATAACTACTGATTGAGTACAGGAAGGTCTAGAGACAGGGGAAGAGTGTTTGGGGACAGATGGTAAAGCTTTGTTGTTTTTGTTGTTGTTTTTTAATTCAGAGACAGGATTGTGAAAAAACAGTGTTAGGGCCCACACATCAGTGCTATAACCTTTATGTTTGATGATCTTTAATTAGAGTTAGGATTAATTTAAAGAAAATTTATTCATTTAATCTAATATCACTTAACCAAAAATCTGGGTGTTTTAAATAAACATTATTTCTTTGTTTGCTTCACTTTATTTTTCAGAAAATTTTCAGAAAATTGGAAAGTATAGACAGTCCAGAATATACAGGATGTAGCTATACTCCAAAGGTGTTATTGAAGGAAAGATATGTTGATGGCACTATTCAGTCAATTAATAATTGTCAATTAATATTTAAGAAATACCTTCTACTTGTGAGGTATTGTGTGGAAGATCCAAATAAGTAGGTGTCACTTTTGCCCTTAAGGGATTTGTTCAGATAAAAGACACAACTGCAAATTTACCACTTCAAAACAAAGTGCCAAATAAGTGACATAGACGATAAGTACTACAGATGTTCAGAGGAGGGAGAGAGAATACCTCTTTTTATTATACTAATGGCAGGATTACTGCCCAGGCCATGACTCACAGTATATAAAGCATCTTGCATACTGTAAGTACCTAAGGGTTTTTCCTTGTTTCACATTTCATAATGTTAATAGAGATCAAATGAATATAAAGGTGTTGTCACTGAGAGGCAATTATTGCATAACATATTGGCACATTATAATTAAAAGACTTACCAGATGTATTATAAAATTAATTGTGAGGTAGCTGTGTCTTAAATACTGTCCAGTAGGAGCTGGTTAGCATAAGGCCTCCAGTCTAATTCACAGAGTATTATCAGTAATACAGAGAGATTGAATTTGGTTTCTTTGGCAGTTTGAAGATTACCAATTGTTATGATTGCTAATTGGAAATTTCTATTTATTTGGAGGAAACAAATGCTTATTTGATTTAATTTGTCAGAAATTTATGATTTTTCATTCTTTGTATTTGATAACACAATATCTTTTTTGTATATTTGATCACACAATATCTTTTTGTCCCAAGTTCTTCTCCTGACTCTTGTAACGAATTGAAATAATTATTAGTTTTTTTATTTTATGGATGAATGGTGGTTGTCTTAGTTCTCTCTTAGAATCCTTATGCATAACACTGGGAGTGGCGGGGGGAAAATAGCAGGTAAAGTATAATGGTGTCCAAGAAGTTTATGTGTTTTTTTAAAATGCTTTCTTGTCAATGGCTTTTCCCCCTTATCATCTTGAACTTGTACGTTGTTCCTGTTTCTTTTTCAGAATATGAGTGCAAGCATGCTACTGACATTCCTATAAGAGGGGGCTGGAAATAAGCATTTCTACTGGGGTATTATTGAACAAAAGCCAAGAAAATTATCTGTTTCTTCATATTTTTGAGCCTCCCAGCAATCGAAGGCTTTCCATTTTTAAAAGCAAAATTGCTATGGTTATTATTCATAGGATAATGATATCTAAGCATGGCCTTGTTGAAAGACACCATCTTCAAATGAACTTCTCTTCAGAGGAGGGAAAATGTAAAACTTTTGATAATCATGCAATTCTAACATGTAGATGAAGGTGATGAAAGGTGGTTCCCCTTTTGGTGTAAGTTTCTTAGTTTTGTTGCCTTGTGGTTACTAAAACGTACAATCTGTATGACTACCCTGAGAAATCATGAGATAGTATTTTTTGAGATTTTCTTGTGATCTTACACATGATCTATCTTTGTAAATATTCTGTAGGCATTTGAAAAGAATTGTACTGTCTATTCCTAGGCTATAGCTTAAGCTCGTGAATGTTTGTGCTTACAATTTTTTTAAACTTTATTAGTCTGTATTCTTCATCTGTCAAATTCCTAGGGATAGTCAAAACTTCCCACTATGATTATATTTTTGTCTGTCTTCTTCTGTAGTTACATATTTTCGCAATTTTGTGTGATACATGTGATGGCTAATGACTAATATAAATGGACAAGATATTTTATTAATATAAAGTAAGTTTTTTTCTTTCTACAAGTCATTGCAATAAATTCTGTTATCTGCCCTTAATATGGCCACCTTTGCTTCATTTTTGTTGACACTTGCCTACCTTTCCTATCTCTAGTATAGCTTTCCTCCTTCCTTTATTTTCACATCCTTTATGCTATAATTTAGGTACTTTTTGTGAATGGTAGATAGCTAGATTTTTATTTTAACCTAGCTAAGGAGTTGCTTTTCTTCAATTAGGAAGTTAATTGTAGTTATTGAAATAAAAGTTCTGGGAAATTTTACTAAGAATCTTCCTGTGTTATGATTTCCCAGTTGTATGCCTTTCAGTTCATCTTTTCTTTTCTTCTTCTTCTTCTTCTTCTTTTTTTTTTTTTTTTTTTTTGAGATGGAGTCTCACTCTGTCACTCAGGCTGGAGTGCAGTGGTGCAATCTCGGCTCACTGCAACCTCCACCTCCCGGGCTCAAGCGATTTTCGTGTTTCAGCCTCCTGAGTAGCTGGGATTACAGGCATGTGCCACCACACCCGGCTAATTTTTTTGTATTTTTTGTAGAGACGGGGTTTCACCATGTTGGCCAGGCTGGTCTTGAACTCCTGACCTCAGGTGATCCACCCACCTCGGCCTCTCAAAGTGCTGGAATTACAGGCGTGAGCCACCGCGCCTGGCCCACTTCACCTTTTTAACTGATTGAGAATCCTAGCTTATGTCAGAAAAACATATATACATTTAAGATTTTAGCTTTTATATCATGGATGAATTCATGTAGGAGCTCAGTGTTCCTACATAATAAAAAAATGCTATTCTCCTGCTCTTTATGAATAATCTTTAGAAGTGAGGTTATTGCTACCTTGGAAAACTTAGCTTACAACTGTAGTAATTGTCCAAAACAGTAATTTTTTTTGTTATGGAACTGTTGCTCTCTGCAGAAAACAGCTCTTTCGAATCTTGAGGTTTTAGGGTGTTAGACTGATTGATTAGTCAGAGGAAGAGACTCAATTTCCCTCACTTAGGCAAGGATATAAATCCCTTTATAAGTAGTCACTTCTGGTTCCCTGTCTAATAAATAAAAGAATTAATGAAATGAGTAATTTCAATAAACCGTTAAAAAGATAATAGAATAAAGCATTTGATAAAGAGAAATATTAAAAACAAGCCAGGTTCATTGTCTACATTAAAAAGTTCTAAGAGATACCAGCAAGTGTCCTGCAAAAATTGAAAGACCACATTGTGTTTCTTATATTCTTTGAAAGACAAATTTGGATCAGATTGTAGAGAACAGCTTATATAATTATTTCACTGTATTTCATTTTTATAGTCTTATTATAAGTGAAAATGACAAATTACTATAGAAAGCTAAGACAAATATCAAATTTCACTCCTAAAAAAGTGCCTAAAAATTAGAATTTATAGACAACTTTAAAAAATCTTATTAGGGAATAAATCTGTTAAATAATATCAGCAAAGTTTAGTGAATATTATGTTCTGTTTTTTATACAATTACTTTTATTGCATAAATACTTTCAGGAAAATTATCTTGCTACTAAAAGAAAAAAGTGTGTATGAGAAATACCTACATATACTCAGAACCACACACACTTCTTTTATTTATGGAATCAAACTCTTAGAGCTGAAAAGATTTTAATCTGTTCGGTCTAATCATTTTAGAGATAAGGAAACAGCCCAGTTTAAATGACTTATAGGAGTTAGTATTGGCAGAGCAGAAATAATGTAACTATTTTAAAGCAAATCATTATGAACTTACACCTATTTAGAGCTATAAAATCACTTCATGTGTACATAACAATGAAGTTTAAAAATTGATAACACTCTTATCAATACAGCAACAGGAGGTTTACAAAAACAGTATCAGGTGACATGATTTCAGATTCTATAGTTATTTAAAAAAATAATAAGGGAAAATGATGAACAAAGTTGTTGAAGTATTTAACAACTTACATGAAATGGACATCTTAAAAGATACAAACAGCTCACTCAAGAAAAAAATAGACAACCCGAATTGTCCTATATCTATTAAGATGATTGATTTTTTTTTTTTTCTTTTCGGAGACAGAAATCTCACTCTGCCACTCAGGCTGAAGTGCAGTGGCGTGATCTTGGCTCACTGTAACCTCTGCTTCCCAGGTTCAAGCTATTCTGCCTCAGCCTCCCAAGTAGCTGGGACTACAGGTGTGTGCTACCACGCTCGGCCAAATTTTTTTTGTGTGTATTTTTAGTAGAGATGGAATTTCGCCATGTTTGCCAGGCTGGTCTTGAACTCCTGCCCTCAAGCGACCCGCTCGCATCAGCCTCGCAAAGTGTTAGGATTACAGGCATGAGCCACCACACCTGGCCAAGGTGATTTAATTTATAGTTTAAAATACCCCACAAAGAAAATTCCAGGCCCATGTTGTTTCACTAGGGAATTCTACTAAAAATATAAGGAAGAAATAATAGCACTTCTATACAAACACTAATAGAACATTGAAGAGAAGGATGTACTTCCCAACTCATTCATTCTATGAGGGCAGCATTACTATGATTTCAAAATCAGACAAATACATTAGAGAAAAACTACAAACCAATATGTCTTATGAACATAGATGCAGAAATTCTTGAGAAAACTTTAATTAATTGAATCCAACAATATATAAAAATGATAGCACCTCATGATCAAATGGATCCTAGGAATGCAAGATTAGTTGAACTTTCACAAATCAATCAATATAATTGACCATAGTAATGACTAAAAAAGAAAACTATATTATCTTTTTAATAGATGCAGAAAAACATTTGGTAACATCTAATATCCATTTCAATCTTAAAAAGCTCTCAACTCAACGCCGGGCTTGGCAGCTCACACCTGTAATCCCAGCACTTTGGGAGGCTGAGGCAGAAGAGACTGCTTGAGTTCAGGAGTTCGTGACCAGCCTGCGAAACACGGTGAAACCTCATCTCTACAAAAAATACAAAAATTAGTCAGACGTGGTGACATATACCTGTAGTCCCAGCTATTCAAGAGGATGACTTGAGCCCAGGAGGTTGCAGTGAGCCAAGATAGCACCACTGCACTCCACCCTGGGCAACAGAGTTAGGCCCCGTCTCCAAAAACAAACAAACAAACAAACAAGCAAACTCTCATCTAGGAATAGAAAGGAACTACCTCAACCTAATAACGGGTATCTACACATCATACTTACTGGTAAAACATTGACTCTTCCCCTAAGATCAGGAACAGGTCAAGGGTATCTGCTCTCATTACTTATATTGAACATTGTATTCTAAGTTCTGACTAGTACAAATAAAGCAAGACAAATAAAAGGCATCCAGATTAGAAAAAAGCAGAACTGTTTGTATTTGAATATGGCATGTTCTATGTAGAAAATTTGATAGAATCCAGAAAAGCCACTTGAACTCATAGATGTTTAACAAGTTGAAAGATACAAGATCAATATGCAAAAAACAACTTTTACCATTTAGAAATGATAAAAAAAGTAAAATATGGAATACAAAATTTAACAATATGAAAAAATTAAGAATAAACCTGACAAAAGATATGAAGGCCTATGAAACAAAAAGTAAAACACAGTGCTGAGAGAAATTAAAGAACACCTAAATAGAGAGCTATGGTGTGTTCCTGTATCGAGAGACTCAGTATTGTTCAGATGTCAGTTTTCTCTAAATTGATCTCTAGATTCAGTGCAATTCCAACAG
The DNA here is from genome assembly GCF_000001405.40 of Homo sapiens. NCBI lineage: Eukaryota > Metazoa > Chordata > Mammalia > Primates > Hominidae > Homo > Homo sapiens. Next base: position 86,645,799 of record NC_000004.12, read on the forward strand.
GCTATATTTTTTTTTGTAGAAAATGACAAGTGGATTGTAAAATTCATGTGGAAATTCAGTGGACTTAGAGTAGCCAAAACAACTTTGAAAAAAGAACAATGTTTAAGGACTCTCACTACCTGATCTCAAGATTTATTATAAAGCTACAGTAATCAAAATAAACAACTAGATCAATTGAACATAACAGCATCCAGAAATAAATCCACACCTATATGGTCAATTGATTTTCAAGAAAGAAAGATGCCCTTTTCAATGAATGGTGCTGTAATAATTGGATATCCATATATCAAAAATTAAAGTTCTTAAAAAAAAATGAGACGGTAGTTGTGTCCCTGAGTTAGGCAGAGATATCTTAAATAAGACAAATGTATGATCCATAAAAGAAAAAAAAAGATACAGTGGACTTCATCAGAATTAAAAACATCCACTCTTCTAAACATATTATTAAGAGAATGAAAGGAAAAGACCTACACTGGGAGAAAATATTTGCAATTTTTTTTTTTTTTTTTTTTTTTTAAAGACAGAATCTCCCTCTGTTGCCTAGGCTGGAGAACAGTGGTGAGATCTCGGCTCACTGCAACCTCCACATCCCAGGTTCAAGGGATCCTCCCACCTCAGCCTCTCAAGTAGCTGGAATCACAGGAGTGTGCCACCATACCGGGCTATTTTCTCGTATTTTAGTAAAGACGGGATTTTGCCATCTTGGCCAGGCTGGCCTGGAACTCCTGGCCTCAAATCATCGGCCTGCCGCAGCCTCCCAAAGTGCTGGGATGACAGGCACGAGCCACTGTGCCCAGCCAGCAACTGGAAGTTTCATAGACTGCTAGTGAAAATGTAAAATGATACAGCTTTACATTTGGGAAACTGACAGTTTCTTTAAAAGTTAAATATACCTGCCATATACACTCCTAGTTACTTACTTAAAAGAGATGAAACTGTGTGTCCATACAAAGACTTGTACATGAATGTTCATAGCACATTTCTTTGTAGTAACCAACAGCTGGAAAAAATACAAATGTCTGTCAACAAGTGAATAGATAAACAAATTGTGATATATTCATATAATGAAACGCTACACATCAATAAAAAGGAGTGAACTATTGATACATGCAACAACATCGATTAATCTCAAAATAATTATGTTGAGTGAAGGAAGTCAGACAAAAAAATAGTACATTCTATATGATTCTAATCTAAAATTCTAAAGCATACAAACTAAGCTGTAGTGAGTGACAAAGCAGATCAGTGGTTGTTTAGGGATGAGAGATGATGATGGGGATGAAGCAGGGAATTATAAAAGAGCATGAGGAAACTTTTAGAGGTGATGGATATATTAATTATCTTGATTTGATTGCCATAATAGTTTCACAGGCATATTCATATGTCAGAACATCAAATTGTACTCTTTTAGTATGTGCAATTATTGTATGTCAGTTATTCCCTAACAAATCTGCTTAACGAAAAGGAATATCAAACATTTTTTCAAAAACTGTTTAAATTTAGAGCTTGATATTTTTTCTTACTAATTTTAAGCTGTGTTTTTAAAAGAAAAATGTTTTTCAGTCAAATGCTGTACCTGACTTTTTTGAGCCAAATGTTCATTTTTCTCTTTGTAGAGCATCAGGAGTAGACTACTCACCTTTAAAAAATAATATATGATAATATAATTTTCTAATAAGTATATTTAAATTAGTTTATTGAATTTAGTTTTTAAAATGACTAAAAACATTTTTAAAAATGAGAAAAATTTTAAAAATTTTAAAAAACATTTTTAAAAATGAGAAAACGTTAAAAGTAGGCAATGTTATGGGATTGTGTTCCTCAAACATTCATGAAGTCCTAACCCCTAATAACCTCCAAATAGGACTGTATCAAAGATAGGGTTTTCAAAGACCTTATAATGTTAAAATACAGTTATTAAGGTGGGGCCTAATCCAATATGACTAGTGTCCTTATAAGAAGAGGAAATTAGGACGTAAACACATACAGAAGGAAAACTGTGAGAAGACATAGAGAGAAGATGGCCATCTATAAGCCAAGAAGAGAGTAGTCAGAAGAAACCAACCCTGCCAGCACCTTGATTTTGCACTTTTACAAAAGTACAGAATTGTGAGAAAATAAATTTCTCTAACTTAAACCGTCCATTCTGTGGTACTTTGTTATAGCAGCCCCCAAAAATGAATACAGGCAGAATAAAAAAAATTAATAAAACATCTCAAAATAAAATATATGGTAACTAAATTTAAAATCTCAATGGAGATCTTCAACAGATTAAACAGAATATCATTTTTATTTTTAATTATGCTTACATACTAGTTATTTTTGAGGTACATGTGATATTTTGAAAAAAGCGTACTCTGTGTAATGGTCAAGTCAGGGTAGCTGGGTTATTCATCACCTCAAGCATTTATCATTTCTTTGTGTTAAGAACATTCAAATTCTACTCTTTTAGTTATTCTGAAATATGCAATAAATTGTTAATTGTAGTTGCCCTATTGTGCTACTGAACATTACATCTTATTTTTTCTGTCTAACTGTATTTTTATACCCATTAACCATCCTCTCTTTATCCCCCCTCCATACTATCTTTCCCAGCTTCTAGTAACCATCATTCTACTCTCTATTTCCATGAGTTCAATTTTATTTTTGAAGCTCCCGCCTATGAGTGAGAACATGTGAAATTTGTCTTTCTGTACCTGGCTTGTTTCACTTAACATAATGTGCTCCCGTTCCATCCATGTTGTTGCAAATGAAAGGATTTTATTCTTTTAATATGGCCAAATAATATCTGTTGTGTATATATGCCCCATTTTCTTTACCCATTCATCTGTTGGTAGATACTTGAGATGATTCCG